>NC_000001.11:244214424-244365939 GCF_000001405.40 Homo sapiens
ATGGGACATTAAGGCCTTTGTTATTCACGCAGCAGTTGGAATCTCTGGCCATTTAAGGAAGGAAGCCGCAAGGTAATCCAGCCCTGGCTGTGCCATCAACGAGTGACTCACTCATTTCTGCCATGTGAACTGTAGATGACCCGGGTCCTTCCTCGGACGTGGTCTACAGCCTGCACTCAATTAAACTTAATGGATTCCTGAGGAATATGTGCGGTCTATATATTAAGTCAAATTAAGCCTCATGCACCATAAACCATGCTCTCTGTTTGTTTTGATAACATTAGTGAATAGGAAGGAAAAAAGTTCAGGTCTGGGAAAAGAGCAAGAATGTGGCCACACTGGTTTACCCCAAAGGGAATCCAAGCCAGTGCCTGCCTGGTACCCTTGGAGGGCTGAGGGTTTCATCCCAGGGGCACACTGGGCTGTGAAGGGCTAGGGGAATAGCATAGAGGAGAGCATGGTGCTTGGAGTGAGGAGGCACCGGATTCAATCCCTGCTATGCCACTTGCTAGCCATGTAACCCTGGGGAGCTGACTAACGTCTCCTGGCCTTAGTCCCTTCATCTGTGGAATGGTCCTTCCAAACTTCATAAAGTTGGTGTGAGCATAAAATAAGAAAAGTGTTATATTCGTTTATTTGCATTGCTATAAAGGAATACATAAGACTGGTAATTTATAAAGAAAAGAGGTGCCGGGCACAGTGGCTCACGCCTGTAATCCCAGCACTTTGTGAGGCTGAGACGGGTGAATCACGAGGTCAGGAGTTCAAGACCAGCCTGGCCAACATGGTGAAACCTCGTCTCTACTAAAAATACAAAAAATTAGTGGGCATCATGGCAGGCACCTGTAATCCCACCTACTGGGGAGGCTGAGGCAGGAGAATCACTTGAACCCGGGAGGCAGAGCTTGCAGTGAGCCGAGATCACACCACTGCACTCCAGCCTGGGTGACAGAGTGAGACTCCGTCTCAAAAGAAAACAAAGAAAAAAGAAAAAGAAAAGTTTATATGGCTCGGGTTCTGCAGGCTGTGCAAGCATGGCACCAGCATCTGCTTGGCCTCTGGTGAGGCCTCAGGGAGCTTCCAGTCATGGCAGAAGGAAAAATTGCCATGCGTGTCACATGGTAAGAAAGGGAGCAAGAGGCGGAGGAGGAGGAGCCGGGCTCCTTTAAACAGCCGGATCTCACGTGAACTGGGAAGAGTGGGAACTCACTCATCACCAAGAGGATGGCACCAAGCCATTCACGAGGGATCCATCTCCACGACCCAAACACCTCCCATCAGGCCCCACCTCCAACACTGAAAAATTACATTTTAACCTGAGATTCAGAGGTGACAGACATCCAAACTATATCAAGTGTTTAGCACAGTTTGTAGCAAGGGCGCATAGTAAGAACCAATAAAAGATGGGAATGTACATATGTTTTTATTCAGCTATATGTGCACACATATATGTGTACTAATGCATATGTATATCTATATATGTAAATGCATATATCCATACCTATACATATAGGTGTATGTATATGTACTGTATATAAGTGAATATGTGTATAAATATATGTATATATCGTATACATATATGCATGTAAGTATATATATTTGTGTGTGGCTATATATATACATAATTATGTATCAGCCTTTGTATATATATTGGACCACAAGTTGCAGAGAGCCTAGGCAAGGTTGGCAGAAGGGACACAGTCCTCGGAAAGCTGTGGGCAGAGGAAGGGGTGTGACCCCAGGTGCCCAAGCCTACCTGGGCAGTATAAAGAGCTTTCTCTTCGAGGCCTGCCGTGGTCTGAGGAAGGGAAGCCAGTGTTATCAGGTGGGTCCCTTATCAGAGAAGGGCTGTCCTTTCATGTTGTTTTTGCTGTTTCTAAAAACAGAAACCAGAGGCTATAACTGCTGCAAAGACTCTTAAGTTTCTTCATCTGTGGAATGGTCCATCTGTCCTTCATAAAGTTGGCATGAGAATAAGATAGGTAAAGTGTTGTATTCGTGCATTTGTGTTGCTATGAAGGAATATGTAGGACTTGTAATTTACAAAGAAAAGAGGTTTACATGGCTCATGGTTCTGCAGGCTGCGCAAGCATGGCACCAGCATCTGAATCCAAAGACTTTTTTTTTTTTTGAGATGGAGTCTCGCTCTGTCACCCAAGCTGGAGTGCAGTAGCACGATCTCGGCTCACTGCAACCTCCGCCTCCAGGGTTCACGCCATTCTCCTGCCTCAGCCTCCCGAGCAGCTGGCGCCCGCCACCACGCCTGGCTAATTTTTTTGTATTTTTAGTAGAGACAGGGTTTCACTGTGTTAGCCAGGATGGTCTCAATCTCCTACCTTTGTGATCCGCCCACCTCGGCCTCCCAGAGTGCTGGGATTACAGGTGTGAGCCACCACGCCCAGCCCTGAATCCAAAGACTTTTTAAAGGGAGAGCCAGTGGCTAAAGTGCCACAAGAAACAATGTCAGTAAGTCACACTTGTGTCCTCCAAGTCTCAGGGTAGAAGAAAGGATCAGGCAGCGGTGTGGTGCCTGAGAGAGGAGGTGTCTGCGTGCAGGCCCGGGACAGGTCGTGAGCTGAGGAATGCCACCATGGCAGATGCCTGCTTTTCTGGGCCTTCCTGTTGCTGACTGGGGCAGTTCTGTTCCCAGGCCCTCAGGAGGGAAGAAGCGTAAATCTAAGGAGCTGAAGGATGGAGGAGTGATGGAGGAGCACAGGACATGTTTTTCTGTACAGCAATCCTCAGGGGCTGCTTCTTCCTCCTTCTTGTCTTGGCCTGGAATCCAAGAGCAGGCTCTGGAAGCATGATGCCTGGTAAAAGGGGACGAGAATGAGTGAACAGGACATCATAGTTCAAACAGCCACTCTGCTCTAACTCGGGAAGGGACTTCACATCCCTGAGCTCCAGCAACCCTCGGTTTCCTCCTTTGACAATGAGGACAAGTGTATTGAACCTCCCAGGGCTTTTGTGAGGATCCAGTATGACTGCGTGTACACACATGGTGGGGCCTTAGAAGTCAATACAACGTTGCACACGTGCACCTCTTTCAGGGATTTACACACTCTAGGGACTCCTGCAAGTTGGCTCATATTTTTGCCCCCAACTCAGTGGTGACATTAAAAAGCATGAAAGGAGCACATCTCAGGCCTGTAATAAACAGGCTAAGAATGCTGGAGCCGCAGGCTAGGGTCTGTCAGTGCCCTGCTGGAGAGGGAGTCCCCGCCTTTGGGCCAGGACACCAGTGGGCAGGAGGTTCTAGTTGTTACGGGGTGAGTGAGTACAGAAACTCAAAAAGGTTTTCAAAATCAATTTTGTTTTACTTTGAGTTTGACATTGGAATGATTCCAAAAAGATCTGGAGCTTAGATGTGGGCTGGATGTTGGTAGCAAGAATGTCCAATAATACATGTTCTTACATAATGTAAAAGTCTATGCCATCCAGCACTTTCAGCAGCATGTGGGCAGGTGCAGGTGGGAGAGGAGTTTGGGAAGCAGCACAGAATATCTCAGCACCAGGAAGACTGAAAAGGAGGGCAGCAGGCATGCTGAGACACCAGCATCTTCACACCGGCCCTCCTTCACACCTGGTTACTAGACAGTTCCCAGTAAGGATGTTCATCTCCCTCCGGTCAATAGTTCTTCACCAAATAATCAAAATCAAATAAATCAAAGCCCTGTTGCACATCCATAATCTTTGTTTTCCTACTTTGCTTTCCAGTCACAGAGTTTGGGGAGTTGGCCCATCTCTTTCTAGCCCTTTTGTCAACAGGGTGGCTTTGGAATCCGTCCTCTCGGCTCTCCTCACCCAGGGGTGGTGCTGACCCTGCCCTGAAGGAGGAACCCTTGGCAGCACGGGGTGGAAAGACTCCAGTGTGGCTGGAATGAACCAAGGGACAGATCCCAGGAGACTGTGTGGCTATTGACTCTCCTGCCAATTGTCTGGAGGGAGAAGCACAAAGCGCCCACTGTGAGAGGTGCCTATCAGGCCACGCCAATCAGTGAGTGGACGACACTGTGTGCTTTTGTGATCTGGAAGCTGAATGTGGCAGGGGCGGGGAGGAGCTGGGAGACGAAATCTCGCCAGCCTCAGGGCCTGGGCGCTGGGGAATGTACGATGTAAATGCTGTCTCCCAGCCTCTGCCCCACATCAAGTAACTGGCTTCTTTGAGATTCTTTGTCAAATTAAGGAGAGAGGCCAGAGGGAGGATGTGAGAAACAGCATCTCTATAGAAAAAAATGAAATGCTATCTCACCTGCAGAATTGCACTCGTGGAGCAGACAGAAGATGCCGCCAAGAAGAAAAAGGGAAAAAGAGAGAAGCTCTTGTTTCCAAACTTGTTCATCTCTCGTTATCAAAAGAGTTTCTGTGTTTCCAGCGGCGTTTCCCAGGAAAATGGAAATTCAGAAAGAATTGTGTCAGTCTTGGTATAGAGTGAAATATTCCTGACAAATCCAGCTTGAAGGGAGAAGGCCCGAGGCTCCCTCCCAGATCCAGGACTTCCCTCCAGGGTCCCCAGACAGGTGTCCAACCCATTTTCTTGGATTGCAACAAGCAGGCACCAACTTGGGAGATGGAGATCACGAGTGAAAGAATACACTCAAATGTGCAGTTCCTGGGACCCACGAGTTGAGCTCTTCTAGGAGAGGGTTGCTGCGTTTCTCCCTGGACCCATGAGGTCCTTTCTGGGGCCACTTACGCTGGTCTGCCTTGCCTGGGGGTGATGTTTATTCCATTAGCCCCTCTAAATGTCAAATTTCTTGACAGCAGGGACTTAAGCATTTGGGGGTTCTCTGAAGTTCTAAGCTCAGAACCTTGTAAATGACTGACACTCAAAACATGTGTTAAATGAAAAAAAAAAGGACTGGAAATATATGACAGAAATAGCCTCCTTGCTGCTCTCCTGCCCATCTTGCATGTGACCATGGCATGACTGAGTGAGTGAAAAATCAATCAGAGCCTGAGACATAGTTAACAGAAAGGTTTTGCAGTCCTTCACCTGGTCCCCAGGGTTTGTAGGTGTTTCCTTAGGGTTAAAGTGCTGCAATGTGAAAAAGCCAAGTTAAAAGACAAGGGGCTCCAGTGCCAGGCCCAGTGCTGGGGAAATTGGGTTTGCCCTGAGGGTGAGGAAGGGAAGGAGGAGGAGACACATCTACTTCTGGGAATAGGGGCAGGAGTGGGCAGGGATGGGCTAGGGAAGCATCACCCCCAGGAGAAATGGTTCCTCTGGTGCCCAGCCCAGGAGGAAGAGCTCACCAAGCATCTAGAGTCCAAGGCTCCCTACACTGCAACCAAGGAAGGAAAGAAGGTGCTGGCTCCCGGCTCGTGGCAGCAATGGGTGGGGGAAGCATCACTCCTACTGGGGACCCTACCGACACAGAGAGGAGCCTGAATCACTGCACTCCTTAACCAGTGATCCACTGTCTGCAGGGACTGGTGGCAGGACCCAGGGGTTTGTGTAGAGAGTGGAGGAGGACACAGAACTGCTGTGATTTCCTGCGACCCTCTGCATCTTCCAGGATGGCAGCAGGAAAATAACTGTGCACTGTCACCTGCCTGTTCCCCTTCCCTTCCCCCTCCTCCTGGGCAGCCCAGCAGGGCACACAGAGGGCAGCACTGTCCATGCTCTGTCCGCAGGGAGAGGGACCGTGCTGGGGCAGGAAGGCTCTGTTTCCAACTAAAAGCAGAGATGCTGCCCAGGAAGCTCATCTGCAGGTTCAGGAAGGTGAGCCCTCCCGTTGGTCACCTCTTTATTTCTTCTAACCTCACCCGAGAGAAAGGGAAACCTTTAAATAGAACAGGGAAAAATATCAAGAAAATGCACATTAAAACCACAATGAGATACCACTGTACTCCTGCAAGAGTGGCCGTTCTTGAAAAGTGAAGAAACAATAGATGTTGGCGTGGAGGTGGTGAAAAAGGAATGCTCATCCGCAGCTGGTGGGAATGTAAGTGAGTAAGTCTCGATGGAAAACAGCATGGAGGCTTCTTAACAACTGAAAGCAGATCTACCGTTTGATCCAGCAGTCCCATTACTGGGTATTTACCCAAAGGAAATGCAGTCATTATATCAAAAAGACATCTGCATGCATATGTTCATTATGGCACAATTGCAAAGATAAGGAACCAACCTAAGTGCACATCCATCAATGAGTGGATACAGAAAACGTGGTATATATACGCCATGGCATACTACTCAGCCTCAAAAAAGAGTGAAACAATGTCTTTTGCAGCAACTTGGATGGAGCTGAAGGCCATTGCTCTAAATGAAGTAATTCAGGAATGGAAAACCAAATATGATACCTTCTCACCTATAAGTGGGAGCTAAGCTATGGGTACACAGAGGCAGACAGTGTGAAATAATGGACTTCAGAGACTCAGAAGGGGGAGGACGGGAAGGAGGTGAGAGATAAAAACCACATATTGGGAGCAATGTACACTGCTTGGGTGACCACTGTGCTAAAATGTCCGATTTCACCACTAGACAATTCACTCATGTAACTAAAAACCACTTATACCCCAAAAGCTATTGAAAAAAATTTTTTAATTTTAATAATAAAGTCAAAACTATATAATAAAGTAACCTCATAGAAATCTTGAAAAAATAAAGAGGACATGGAAAAATAGCAAAGACTCATTTCTGAGTATCAACATTGAAAATTAATCCCTGGGACTATAACAATTACTCTGGGTTAACCTTGTCTATCTATTCCCCAACACCAATATCACACACTCACACGCGAGGGCACACACACATACACACACAGAGTTAATTCACTGCAAAGTGAAGCATCTTCCCTCAGACACATCAAGATTGAGGTTGACATCATTCTCAGCAAACTATCACAAGGACAAAAAACCAAACACCGCATGTTCTCACTCATAGGTGGGAATTGAACGATGAGAACACTTGGACACAGGAAGGGGAACATCACACACCGGGGCCTGTTGTGGGGTGGGGGGAGCGGGGAGGGATAGCATTAGGAGATATACCTAATGTAAATGACCAGTTAATGGGTGCAGCACACCAACAAGGCACATGTATACATATGTAACAAACCTGCACGTTGTGCACATGTACCCTAGAACTTCAAGTATAATTTTAAAAAAATTTTATATATGTACATATAAAAGATTGAGGTTTAGACAAGAGCCTCCTAAACAGCCTGAAGAACTGAGGGCCTAAAGTCTCCTTAGAACTTTATGCTGCCAAGGGCTGGGCGCAGTGGCTCACGCCTGTAATCCCAGCACTTTGAGAGGTCGAGGCGGGCGGATCACTTGAGGTTGGGAGACCAGCCTGGCCAACACGGTGAAACTTGGTCTCTACTGAAAACACAAAAAGTAGCCAGGTGTGGTGGCACATGCCTGTAATCCCAGCTACTTGGGTGGCTGAGGCAGGAGAATTGCTTGAACTTGGGAGGCGGAGGTTGCAGTGAGCCAAGATGGGCTACTGTACTCCAGCCTGGGCAACAGAGCAAGACTCTGTCTCAAAAAAAAAAAAAAACCCAAAATGTTATGCTACACAGAATGCAATTCTTTTCATTGATTCTCTTAAAATCTGAAACCTGTAGCACAGCCCCTTTGTGGGATGTGTCATTCCAGCTGTTATGCACCAGCTTGTACACCCACCAATCAGATAATTTGCAAAAGCTCAGATAATGTGGAAATTATTGGAATACTGAAGCCTGCATGTTGATGTAAGTATAGGCAAAGGGAGATTAACATTCCTGAATCCTCAGTTCCCACGAAACATCACACTCTCTCCCAAGTAGCCTCTTGCTGAATCGGGAGGTGGTGGCCAGAGGTTCTTTCATCTGCTATCCAGTTAAACTGAAATTCAGACAAGAGAACAGAATGGTGTGGGGGAGTCGGCTGGCTGTGAAAGAGAGCTGTTGTTGCAGCTCCTGAACCCAGAGAGGAGGAAGGAGAGAGAGCTGGGGACCCCAGTCAAGGCTCGAGGGCCCCTCCTGCTGCACTGCGAGCCTTGCTGTCCCGGCTCCCCAGCCTCCACTCGTTGTGGTCCCTGCAGCACACAGTCTGCTGGCCAGTGGCTGGGGAGATCCAGGCACGGCTTCATCCTGGTCTCCAGAAAAATGAACTCCCTAAACAGAAATGGCATCTCTCTTTTCTATGCAGCAACTCACTGCTGGCTGCTTCTTCAAGCCCACTCCCAGCGCCTCTGGGGCATCTACCCTGTACCCATACTACCGTGACAGCTCAGGGCAAGGGGAAAAACGGCAAGCATCTGTGGACTCAAGGATCACAGAGCTTCTCACAGAAAGAAGGGATGGAACATTGCTCACGATTAAGTGGACTCCCAATGTAAGTGCAAATCAGAGTAAGGGCAAAATCAGTAACCTGGGTTGAAAGTGCAGAAGGTCCCTGGCCAAAGCTTCTGAGTCTCCCAGGACAGCCCTGATCTCAAATATTCTTTCCCCCAAAGCCGCTGAAAGGTTCCATTGTTTCTGACATTTAGGGACACCTAAACACCATCTCTCCGATTGCCTCTCACTCCTGGAAGCCGCAGGCTTTCATCTTTCAGACAGTGGCTACTTTAACTTGGAAACAGTGGTCCCTGCCACTGAGGCCAGTTAAGAGTGAACTTTTATCTGCAGTGGCCAGCGATGTCCCTAGAGGAGAAGAAAAAAGGGATGGACATTAGCTGAGAATTGCAAATGATGGCTCTCTCCACAAGGGGAATGATGGGAGCCAGAGGCCGAGGCCTGAAAGTCGAGGATGTGTTCCCCAGCTTCGTAGAGGCAGGGGTTTGTGGCACGGTAGCGTGGGGAGGTGACAAGAAAGGGAGCTTGGTGTAAGCTGATGATGTGGGGGCCTCAAACACCCAGCCTAGCAGGGCAGACTTGATGCTTTATGCTGGTGTCATTGGAAAAACCTAGTGTTTTCCCAGATGTTCACAGATGTTCCATGAGGGATGGGGGCTGGATCCCATTCTCCATCCTTCCTTGTCTCATTCTGTTCCCTGGAAGTCTGGCCTCTACCATGTGATCTGGACTCTCATGCCCTTTGGCTTTGGGTTGGGTTCAGTCGGTATGAGGGATTGAGAGAGGAAAAAGCCAGCGTATTTATTCCCCAGGCTCCTTGCCGCCGGGCTCTGCTCTCTTCCCTCCTGGTAGAGCCTCAGGTGGGAGCAGCTTCCCTCTGTTGCCAGTCCCCGGGTGCCTCATCATCCCCTTGCCGGTTTTCTTGCTCTATTCACACTTTTGTTTCCTGCCAGGATCCCAGTCAAGTAAATTTGGGGGACTCGCCTGACAATTTGCCAAGCTTATTAGCATCTCAAGGCTCCAAAAAGTCCTGCTGTAAAGAAACTCTTAAATTTTGTTTGGTCTACAAAATTGTTTATTTTTTTTTCATGGAAAATATTCCCTGAAATGGAATTAATTTTTACAGAGTGTAAGAAGTGCCGCTATAAATGAAGGGTGATTTGAGGAGGGGAGTGACAACCTCAAAGCAATGCTTTAGGAAAAGTAGTTTGACAACTGGGAAGGATGGATGAGGAAGAACAGAAACAGGGAGATCAGAAAGGGGCATGGGTAATAGTCTCAGCACGAAGGTGTGATTTGGGTCATGGTAGTGGGAAGGAAGGGACATGAACAGGCTCTACTGGGCCCCTTCACCAGTCCCCATAAGGCTAGACAGCTACTGCGGCCTCCAGCAAGAACAGAGCTTCTGCCAATGGCGAGTTCAATGATTCAGCACTCATATCCTCCTTGATTATTATTTTTATCATCAAATTTTATTTTATTAGAATTCTTATTAGGAACACTCAGAAAATACTACCTACTACGCAAAAAGTGGACAGGACCTAGAAGTAGAATGAAATCTGCTCATTAAATACAATCAACTCTTTCTCCCCAGTGGTGGCACAAGTCAAAAATAGAACCCATTTTGATGAGAAAACTGCAGATTTTAATAACTGTGATGACATGTTATTAAAGAGGAATTAGAATGCTGAGGAGTGTGTTTTGGAGGGCCATTAATAGACCAGCTACTGGTCTCATGTTAATGTGAAACTGCTTTTTTCTCAAGAACCTCCTTGGTCGAGGGTCTTAATTTATGAGGTTTTGTGTCAGTAGAACTTGCCATATCCTTCAATAAAACTAGTACTGCTCTATTCTCCTGACAAACTCCAAGGACCAAAGTCGTCCCAGCAGTTCCTCTTTGTCTTCTGTAGGTATTGCATCATGGCCCGGGAGACTACGCAACCACTTCTGGCTTCCTGTGTTCACATTTCTGCTTAATATTTTTACCCTAATTGAACTTTTTCACAGAAATCCAGAGATAGAGCTGAGAACCCCAGGCCTCCCAACAGACGTGTTGTTAAGGTGGTATATAATCAATTCTCAATTATTTTCAACAAGGAAAGGAAGCATTAGAGCTGGTACCAGAAGACTACAGGAAGCCTGCTCAGCAGGCTGGAGTCACGGAGGACTCAGGGGCCAGGCACACACGCTGCCGGCACTAGGAGTTCTTGATTGGGTAAAAGCCAAAAGGAGCCCACCCTTCCTTTCCTTTCCTTCCTTTCTTTCTTTATTTCTCTTTCTTTCCCTTTCTTACTTTATTTCTTTCTTTTTCTTTTTTCTTTCCTTCTTTCTTTCTTTCTCTTTCTCTCTCTCCCTTTCTCTCTCTCTTTCTTTCTTTCCTTCTTTCTTTCTTCTTTCTTTCTCTTTCTCTCTTTCTCTCTTTCTTTCTTTCTTCCTTTCTTTCTTTAAGTTTCACTCTTGTCTCCCCGGCTGGAGTGCAATGGCACGACCTCAGCTCATTGCAACCTCCATCTCCGAGGTTCAAGCTATTCTCCTGCCTCAGCCTCCTGAGTAGCTGGAATTACAGGTGCCTTCCACCATGCCCAGCTATTTTTTTTTTGTATTTTTAGTAGAGACAGGGGTTTCACCATGTTGGCCAGGCTGATCTTGAACTCCTGACCTCAGGTGATCCACCTGCTCGGCCTCCCAAAGTGCTGGGATTGCAGGTGTGAGCCACCATGCCCAGCCAAAAAGATCCCTCTCTAAGTGGTTTGGATCCAGGGGATACAGCCTTCCTGGAGAAGAGTGCATGGCTTTTGAAGACACAATGGTTATCTCCAATACCCAGGAATAGTCATGGGAAAAAGAGAGAGGGCTTCTTCCCTGCAGCTCTGAAGAGGGGCTTGACAAATGGTCAAAATGCTAGAGTACTATGAGGCCAGGTGTAGTGGCTCACACTTGTAATCCCAGCACTTTGGAAGGCCTAGGCAGGAGAAAAGCTTGAGCCCAGGAGTTGGAGACCAGCTGGGTAACATAGTGAGACTATGTCTCTACAAAAAAAATCTTAAATATTAGCCAGGTTTGATGGCACCCACCTGTAGTTCCAGCCACTGAGAAGACTGGCAGGAGGGTCCCTTGAGCCCAGGAGTTCCAAGTTACAATGAGTTATGATCTCACCAATGCACTCCAGCCTGGGTGACAGAGTGAGACCCTGCTTTAAAAGAAAATAATGCTATGGTACTATGGACTCTGGGTGATAATATGTCAATGTAGGTTCATCCACTGTAAAAAATGTACCACTCTGGTGGGAGATGTTGACAACACAGGAGGCTACTCTGTGGAAGGGGCGGGGAGGTGCATGGGCAAAGAGAATAGAGGAAATCTCTGTACCTTCTGAATTTTGCTGTGAACCTAAAACTGCCCCCTGCAAAATAAAGTCAATTTAAAAAATTATAAACTTGGCCTCAATTTTCACTGAACTAAAGAAACCTCCTGGTACCTGTGGCATCTCTCAGAGGGTTGATGAAAACAATAGCGCAGATCTGACTTATCACTGGGAGTGGATTATGAACTAGTTTCACCCACATTTCAATAGACAGCAGCTCTTCTTAACTCTCCCAGGAAAAAGAGGGTAGACCTCTCCAGTGATCTCAAATGCACAATATGGCAAATGTCAGTGTAAAAAACAAAATACACAAGTCTGTTTCCAGAGAGTCTTTTAGTACCTAAATGCATTTAACATCTTTCTTTGTCACGGAGCCTGTAGAGTGGTCTATTCCATTTTTCTCAGGAAAAGGGTGGATCAATTTCCAAATTCCAAATCTGCATATCGAAAGGGACTGGGTGAAACAAAAAATCTGATCTTCACAGAGCTCTTCTCAGTGGGAGCTAAAAAGTGTGTGGGGGCTGGAGGGCTTCATGAGTCAGTTCCAGGCTATTAGGTAATTTATTGTTTGAGATCATCAAATGCCACACTCATATATTAGTCAAAGAGATATAAACATACCTACACACACTTCCTTTTTAAAAGAAGGAAGGATCTGTAAACAGACCTCTAGAGCTCTTCCCGGCTCCTGCAGACCAGTCTGTACTGACCAGGTGTAGATGGCACAGGAAAATGGGAAAATTGGGTGCCCCCCAAAAAAGCAATTTTCCTCACAAACCTCCAGACCATGAGGGCTGAGATGACACACATTATATGGTTGCTTAAAATAGGATGAAGCCTGGCGTGGTGGCTCATACCTGTAATCCCAACACCTTGGGAGACCAAGGCAGGAGAACTGCTTGAGCCCAGAAATTCTAAACCAGCCTGGACAACACAGCAAGACCCCATCTTTACAAAAAATTTAAAAATTAGCTGGGGGTGGTGACGCACGTCTGTAGTCCCAGCTATCCGTGAGGCTGAGGTGGGAGAAGCTCTTGAGCCCAGGAGGTCAAGGCTGCAGTGAGCCGTGATGGCACCACTGCACTCTAGCCTGGGTGACACAGCAACACCCTGTCTCAAAAACAAAGAAATTACCCACAAAAAAAACCTTGGGGTAATTTGAGAGTATTCAGGGGACATAGGTTAAACGACCTCCCATCAACTCTTCCAAGCTTAAGATTTCATGACACCCCCTCGTGTTCCCACCACCTCACATCTGCAGAGTCACCAAGAAGAAAGAAAATCCCTTGAGTTGTGGAGAAATGGTCCCAAGGAAACTGGAGTCAGCAACAAGGTAACTGCTGGATGAAAAGTGAACGGACCGTGGGCACCAAAGAAACAAAAATAAAATAACAACTGCTGGATCATGCGGTCTTTATGCCTTTCCATTCGAAAGTCAACGCATCTGGTAACTCACTCTTCTTCAGAGAAAACCCCAATTTATAGATATGGATGTTGATGCTTCAAGGGTAGACAGATTGCTAAAGGTTGAAGAGTGGATAAGTATCCATGCCGAAAGAAAAGGAAAGTGCTCTGAGGCTGTGTTCAACAGCCAAAACAGCTACTCAAGTGAAGTCATTGGAAAACAAAACAATTCCACTGGTAGTTTTTCATCATGTGGACACAACAAGCCAGTGGATTACCCATTTGTTTTCCAACCAGGTAAAGCAGCATCGTGTGGGATATTTTAAGTCAGCTGAGCTCACTACATGGCCTTCTAGCCACTGAGAGCCGATCTCCCAGCCTGAGTCTCCCTATTCTTTTCCAGGGGCTGAATTGTGATTCACCTGGAGGGTTGGCTGCTTGGAAGTCAAGACTCTGTAAACCAGGGTCCCAGACGCTTTGTGGGAAGGAGTGGCGTTCCTTCTCCTGAGTCCTGGTGATCCTAGAGTGGTCTGGGGAGAGATGTATCGACCTATCTGTGCCAGGCTCAGCTGCGTGCCTGGCCGAGTAAGGACAAGATTGGAAGCCACTGCTCCTTTCTGGGATTTTGTGGAAAATATCTCACTGTTTCCCTTTATGCAGCCCAGAGTGCCCTAAACACCTTGATAGTGGAAAAGGTGGGCTAAGCATCTCGTATGTCCCTCTGGCTAGCTCATATCTTGGAAGGAACAAAAATCAATAGAGATCTGATGTCCAGCTTGCCCGGAACAACTCTGGAAGGAGTTTCCGAAGGCAACAGTAAAGGAAGCTTTGCAGGTTTGTTAGGATGATGAAGAAGAGGGACCCAAGGGGGGCCTCATTCTACCCCATCAGAAACCAAAGTCCTCAGGGAAGGAGGGAGAGCCCGGAGGTACCTGGGCTTATCCTCTGCTTCTGCCTTCTCTGTGGTCCCTCTCGTCACCGAGGGGGCTCTGCAGACTCTTCACTGAGGCCTGCCTGGGCTGCCATCTATGCCCACGGGGAGATTCTACCTGGATTAAGTAGAGAGCTTCTAAGAGCTGCTCTGTATGTTTTCAAGAGAAAAGCAAGCATGTGGTAGAAAACATGGAGAATATGTCTCATAAACAGGATCAGGGGAAGGGCAGGGGGAGAGAGAATGGTGATTAGCTGCCTGTGTCTTGCCAATTATTATATGCTCTGTTTATGTTTTCAGCAAGTGATTTTCCATTCCTGGTGAAGTGGCCGCAGTGAGGGTCACCGGGACTATCCCTCAGGCATCAGGAAAAATACAGACCCAAACAGAAGCAGTGTCTGCCCACGGGCCAGCAAGTGCCGAAATATCACGGGTCCTGTTCTGATGAGGGGATCTCCTCCCTTAGGTATTTTTAAACATGCTTGTAATCCTTTCAGAGCTGAACATGAGGACTTGGGTGATGCCTGATCAGCCAACGTCTGTCTGAAATGGGACCGTGTGGGCACTCCTCCCCTGTCTGCTGGGACACTGTCCTCACCTGGAGTTACTACCCTTTAAGATGCTAGCCTGGTTGACAGCAAAGGTGGAAATATTGTCCATTCCTCAGGGCAGCCTGACTTGATTTCCCCAGACAAGCTTCTCCCAACACAGCACACTTTTCCTTCATAGGACTTAGTACCATTATAACCAACCAATTAATTAAATTGGGTGCTTATCCATTTAACCTTTGCCTCTGTGCTGTGTTATAAACTTTTAGAAGGGAGACCTGTCCATCCAGTTTATCTCTGGCTACTAGAACAGAGCCTGGTGCCCAGTAGTTGTCCAGTGCCTACTTGCTGGATGAATGACTGAACAAATGAATGGCATTATGGCCCAAGAGGACACTGCTACCTGGAGAGAAAGGATGCAGGCCCTGAGCCCACGGCTGTTCACTTATCCCCATTCTGAATGGCACAGCAAGAGCAAAGGCTTAGGAATCCTACAGACTAGGATTCAAATCCCACTTCTGCCCTTTACCAGCTGTATGATGTTGGGAGAGTTTTCCTGTCTCCGTTCCTCAGTGTTCCTATCTGTGAAGTCAGGGAGAGTGACAGCGGCCACTTCAATGACTTGTTGGTATAAGGTGCTAAGCACAATATCTGGCACACAGCAGGCGCTCAATAAACATCAGTTTCCTTCGAAGGTCCAGAAGGGAAAATAAATTGCACACTGGCAATAACTGTAGAAGGGTAGTTGAGAGGGTTTTAGCTAGAGAGGCGGCCCTTCTGGGAGAGACATCCAGCTTAGCATGTAGAGGATATCTAGATTAGCAAGTACAGGACATCTAGCTTAGCATATATAGGTCACGCATGAGCCAGGCCTAGAACTGGGGAAGATTGTAGCAAGAGCATTCTCACCTGTCCAGCCCAGTTAGTGGGGAACAAACTCCTTGAAAGAGATGAGGCTGGGTGGAGTCTTTTAAAATATGCACAAGAAGGATACAGAGCAGACGATGCTCATTTCACAAAGTTTGCAAACCCAGAAAGACAACCGCTAGTCTCCATGTCCAAAGCACAGAGCTTGGCTGGGCCTTAGCCCTCTGGGATCCCCATGGTACTCTTCTTCCTACAAGCCTTGCTGTGACCTGGGTAGTTCCAACTCCCAGACTCAGGAGAGACAAGGAACAGGGGGATGGGGCAGGAGGGGGAGGTAGGAAGAGAAGGCGAGGCATGGGCACATTAGCAGGGAGCCAAGCAGGACAAGGGGTCAGAAGAAGGGTGGAGAGAGGATGCAAAGGATAGGTCTGAGGCTGGGGAGTGACATGTGACGTGGAGCTGGACGTGTCATGTGTGATCATGCATCCATCTTTTTTCTTTTAAGAGATGAGGTCTTGCTCTGTTGCCCAGGCTGGAGTGCAGTGCCATGATAACAGCTCACAACAGCTTTGAACTCCTGGGCTCAAGTCATCCTTCTGCCCCAGCCTCCCCACGAGCTGAGATTACAGGTGCACTCCACTATGCTGGACTAATTTTCTTTGTTTGCGGCAGAGATGGAGGTCTCACTATGTTTCCCAGGCTGCTCTCAAACTGCTGGCCTCAAACAATCCTCCTGCCTCAGCCTCCCAACATGCTGGGATTATTAGACACGCATCTGTCCTTTAAATATGCATATTCTCTGTCCTTAAAATAGGGCTGGGAGCAGCTGTGGCAGTGAGAATACCGTCCCACTCATCCACCCACTCACTCCTTCGCTCCCTTAGCAGGCAGTTATCAAATCTTCACTTCATGCAGACAACGTGTTGGGGACAGAATGATGGGCAAAGCAGACAGTCCATAGCCTCCAGAGAGTCCACGGCGGGAGAAAACCCTCCATATAACAGTCCTAGCTGCATAGACGCTCCATCCGGCAGGTGCTAAGAAGGGAAAGGAGAGGGGCTTCCAGCGGGCACGGGCTGGAGAGTCCACCCCCAGTCTCCCCTGCTGCCACCTTTCTTCGGTGACTTCACTGTCCTGAATGGCCAGGCCTCTTCCTCCCTGAGGAGGGAAAAAGAGCAGAAAACCAATGATCTGTGTGATATCTGGACACTGGTGATATCTGGGCCTCAGACCCAGAACAGCTGGGCCAGGCTTCAATGACAGGGGTCCAGGGATATGGCCCAGGAGCCCGGTGAGTTTCTGCCCCGTCCCACCTTCCCCAGGTGGGAATAACAAAAGTAACGCTGCTTCCCTGAGTGCTTCATGGAGTCCTCACAGACGAGGGCTGGTGGATCAGGAGTTACATACTCCATTTCATAGATTAGGAAACTAAGACCAGACAGGGCAAGAAACCTGGCCAAGGTTTCACAATTGCTCAGAGGTGAAGTTGGAAGCTGACTCAACAGCCCAGTGGCCTCCTATCCCCGGGTGCGCTGCCTCCGGACCTGGCTTCCTGGGGCCCTGGCCAGTTTGCTTGGAGGTTTCCCAGACGCCCTGTTCGCCCTCCCAGCCAGCCACAGCCGAGTCCTGGGTGAGCCCATGAGAAGAGGCCCCAGGACCCTCTAAAGCAGGCACTGGGGGAGACCCAAGCAGAGTCAAATGCTGAGCTCTTGGCCGGGGGGCAGGAATCTCCAGCTCCCTCCTCCCTTTTGGCAGCAACAAGTGTGAGGGTTCCCCTCCCCCCGACCCCTATCCATTGTAGCAGGGCGCTGCAGAGCAGCTGGCAAACACAGAACCAAACACCTGTGTGCCAGATATTACAGCTGCATGTGTGAAACGCGATCCGTCTGCAGCGCCTGTCACATGGCGGGTCCAGTTGTTGCACTCGGGGCGGGTTGGAAAAGGAACCATGGGAGAGAACTTTCAGTGGCAGAATTTCAAAGCTCAGGCACCCACCGTCCCCTTCCTCCCACCCCCAGCATTTTATTCGCTCCTCTTTTTTGGCACTCGGCATTTCCGGCTGAGTTTGCCTTTCACTAATTCCCCAGCGGTGACAGTGCTGGGAGTTGAATCCTCCGCAGGGTGACACACACTGCACGACAATAATACAGCTACTTAGCGTGCTCCGAGGGCTCTTCATCTTCAAAGCAGTTGTTTCACGACTTGCTCCAAGGGCTGCACATCTGGCGGAAACGTTTGTGGATCCCGGGTTGGTGGGGTGCCTTCAAAGCTGGGGTGCCTGGAGGACACCCAGAGACATCCTGCAGTTGGGCTTAGCACCTCCTCCCTGGTGAGGTCTCATCCCCGTCGCTGCCAGTGTGTCTATTCCAAAGTCTCGGGCTCTTCACCTGCTTCGCAGAGACATGTTCGTTTTCTGCCAGAATCACTTTCAGGGCTTTGGTTGATGTCACCAATTAGCCTGCATATGGAAAAGGGGGAAAAATAGGACATTTCACAGGTGCTAAAGAGGGTGGGAAGGGGAAGGAGACAAGAAGAAAGGAACCAGTTGTTTCCGGATATTAACTCACAGAAGGTCTTTCCCCAGAAGGTGGCTTTCCCCAGAAGTGGGATAAAAGATTTTCACCCACTACCAGCTAGGAGGCATTTACCATGGTGGAACAGAAAAGAGGAAATAAAATCCAAAATAGAAAAGCATACCTCAAATATATCCACCTGACCTGAATACCACAAACTCCGTGAGACCTCAAATTTCTTGGGGTTTTGGACTAGCCAGGAAATAGGAGATTGTTATTACATGTAAGAGACACCTGTCTATCAAAACCAAGTGCTTTACACAAGTTATCCTGTTTATTCATCAATCAATCAAGTAACATTTATTCAGTCAATCCTCACTACAACCTTTTGTGGTAGTTTCTATTATTACTCCCAATTTACAGGGAAAAAAGTCAAGGTTCAGGAAATTAAGTGAAATTTAGTGAATTTGTGAAAGGTCCTCTAGATAGTAAGTTGGCAGAGAAAGATCTGAGACCAGAACAGAGATCTGGACCCCAAAGTGAATGAATGCACCAGAACTCTGGTTGGTTCTCCCCACGGTCCTAAAACACTAGGCTTGGGTGACGTCAGCGGGGGAGAGGGCCAAACGCAGATTGACGCACCACCCGACATGCTCAAAGGAGAAACCTCAGATTCATATTTTCCAAAGTTCTCACCTGTCTCTCCTCAACTTTCCCTTCAACTAAACACAAAACACATCATGAAATCCCATCTCTACTAACAAAATACAAAAAATTAGCCGGGCATGGTAGCGCACGCCTGTAGTCCCAGCTACTCAGGAGGCTGAGCTGGGAGGATCACCTGAGCCCAGGAAGTAGAGGCTGTGGTGAGCTGAGATAGCACCACTGCACTCCAGCCTGGGTAACGAGAGTGAGACCCTGTCTCAAACAAACAAACAAACTAACTAAATAAATAAATAAAAACAAATAAACAGATAAATAAATAAAATTGTAATTCCAGAAGTCATTTTATACGAACCCAAATTAGTTTTTTTACCTTTTCACTTTGAAAAAAAATTACATGGAAACTATGTCTGTTTGCCCCATCGTCCCCCTTCCTGCACGTCATCACCACCGTCAGCCCTGTTGCCACAAAAGGTGGCACTTTCTTGGTCCTGTACAGAATGTAATTTTCACTTGCCCCTGGAAAATCAATATGGAAAGGCTCTAATTCCCCAGATCTCGATTTTTCAATAAAAAAGTGAAAATGAAACTCTGCGGGATTGCAGCCAAAATGGTGCCCTGAGCCAACCGCAGTCTGGAGGGAGACTCAGAGTTTCAGAGAAAACACCAACTTTTGACATTGTTCTGCTCAGATGACCCATCAGATGGGAGCAGAAGCCAGTGTCTAGGGGTCTATGACATAGACCGGGGTCTATGAGACTCGGCAGTGCTCCTTCCAGAAAGGCTTCTCACTCCAGAGGGATTCGGGGCAAAACTCTGCCTGTCCCGAGGTGCTACTGAGGGCCGGGATAGTAACAGGGAAAAGCTTAACTTTGGACCCAAAACATCCATGAGTTAAAATTCTGTCTCCATCATATTATAATGGCTACTTTCTGCTTAGCAGCTCTGATGATCTGATTTCGTCAACCCAAAGGAGGAGGAGGAAGAGGAGGAGAGAAGCTGAAGTTGTTGATTGAGCTCTCAGCGTTGACATGAGGAGTCCATGAAACAATCTACAGGAAGGCACCCCAAACGAAGCCTGGCTGGGAGTAGACATTCAATAGGGTGCATTTCCTTCCTGCCGCCACCCCCTCTGTCCCTAGAATTGAGGTTGAACAACTGATACCCTTCAGTACCTAGTGTTGTCAGTGGAGGGCCACAGTGAACTATTCAGTCCCCTACCCTAGGGCCTCCTAATCCCCCCACGATGGTGACAGACATAATGAAAGTGCCGTCGCCTATCTGCAGACTCTGTGACCAGACACCCTCCAAAGCAAAATCACCAAGGGCTCTTCTACAGCTCTTTCTGTGGCTGTTTTAACACTGACACCTGAGAAAGAAGAGCAGCCCCCAGCTTGAGACCTCATCCTGTAACAGGAGCTGGGCTTCCTGGCTGCTGCTGCTGCTGCTGCGTGCCCCAGGACAGCTCAGCCCGAGCCAAGCGCAGTGCCTGCCATTAGAGTGCGAGTCCCAGGACGCTTGGCTGCTGCCACCTGATCCTGGGTGGGTCACGTAGCTTCTGGGTGCTTCAGCGTCCTCAGCTGTCGAACAGGTTAATAATAGTGAGGCATGCTCTGACCCAGCGCAGTGGGGTTTAGCCAAGAGAAGCCTCCCTGACAAGTTCAATGATGGGAAAAAAAGAGACGACATTTTAAAGAACAAAACCACATAGCATTGAAGTTTGTTATTTCATGCTTATGTTCCTCTTGTGCCCCAAAGCAAAGGAAAGGGAATATTTAAGGTCCCCGAGATAACACACACCCACTTCTCCAGGTTTCCTGGTGTCTCTCTGTTGAATACGGCTCAGTCTTATGAGTTGCTTTCTTGCCAACCCCAGTAGCTTCCAAACCTGTGACCTGGAGGCTGTGCAGTGAGGGAGGAGGCAGGAGAGGGAAGGAATGGAGTGGAGGCTGGCTGTTGCAGGCAACCGCACAGGGTTTTAATGACTGCCCCGCCACCTCCACTTCCAGGTTCACCAAGACTCTATGCAATGGGAGAGGGGTAATTCCTCAGGAATTGTTATCATCAGAAAATGAAGGGATGGATTCTAGAGGGGTGCAAATAATTGATGCCAAGTACGATATAAAAGCATTGCTGAATTTTTTTAGGAAAACAAAAATAAGCAAACAAGTCTGCCTCCCCACACATGAATAGAACCAATTTGATTGACATGAAGAACTGGGGCCTTGAAGACAGTGTTTTCTGGCTAGGCATGGAGACAGGGACCATTGGCCACTAGTGCTTTGGGATTTCCTGAGTGGGAATGCCAGAGATTACTAAAGATTCAGCTGAGACAAGAGCCTCCTAAGCCACACCCATGGAGTTGCTCATCCAACCTTATCTAACAGCAAGAAGTTGGAAACAACCTAAATATCTATCAATAGAAAACTGACTAGGTCACACATACAATGCCATACTACTGTTCCATTAAAGGCTATTAAAAATGGGCTGGGCACGGTGACTCACGCCTGTAATCCCTGCACTTTGGGAGGCCAAGGCCAGTGGGTCACCTGAGGTCAGGAGTTCGAGACCAGCCTGGCCAACACGGCAAAACCTTCTCTCTATTTAAAAAAAAAAAAAAGCTACTAAAGAGAAAAAAAGAAAAAATAAAGATTCACACATAGAAAGATGCCCCCATAATATAGTATCAAGCAAAGAAATCAGTTTATATAAATTGTATGATATTATCCCATGTAGGTGAAAGGGAATCCACACATCTACGTTGCGTATATATTGAGAGGTATCCTGAAAGATGTTTGCAAAAATGTTACTGCAGCTTCTTCACGGGATAAGATCTTGACTGATCATTTTTCTTTCTTCCTTGTTCTCTTCTGCATTACTTGACTGTTCCTTTCCTTACAAAGAGCACTTACTTTTTTAAAAAAAGCACTATTAAAAATCCATCTCTGTAAGAAGTAACTTTCATCTTTTTATCTTGGTGGAAGTTTGTGATTGAATAGTGAGAAGGGCATTGAACATCTTCTTGATCTTCCAAGATATACTCTGATTAATAGAGAATAAAGCCCTCTCTGATTTCCTAATATCACATAAAATACCAAGGAGAAGGAAAGTAAGGTAGGAGGTCATCGAAAGTATTTCCTTTGACTCTGAGAAATCCTCTGTCCCAACTCTCTTGCAAAGAAAACTAAACTAGCACATACCGTATAAGGTCTGTTTTTCCATAGCCATGTCCTCCCCCTTTTCCTTTAGCACTTTTGTTCAAACATGTATTGAACCGGTGGGATATGCAAGACCTTCTCTTGGGAACTCATCAGCTCGTCTGGGACCTATGCTTTGTTTCAGGCTTAGTACTTAAAACAGTCACAGAGGCCAAGGTCATGGTGAAGGAAGCTGACTACCCAACTGGGGTCTTCTCGTCGGTGGAGTGAGTCAGCACTGATTACAGAGCATCTGAGGCCTCTCAGAGTGAAGTACATTTGCAAAGTAGTCCCTCCTCTGCACTCACATGCACAGTCTGGAGAGTCAGGTTGTCATCATTCACTCAACATCCATTCATTCAGTATTTACTGAGTGCCCACTGACCGTCAGGATGGTGCTGGGAGCTAGGTCCAAAGCGGCGAGCTAAGTACAATCTCTGTCCTCAAGGAGCTTACATCTTAGCGGGAGAAGTTGGACAATTAAACACATGCACACACACTTTAGGAGGTAATAAGTGCGATGCAGGAAGGCCAAATGGGGTAAGGAGACAGAGTGACAGGGTGGCTGGTGCTAGATAGGGTTGTCAGGAAGGTCCCATTGGATAAAATGACCTCTGAATGGAGACCTGAGAAACGTGAGGGACTGAGGATGAGGACACCGGAGGTAAGAACATTCCAGGCCGGGGAGCAGTATGTGCAAAGGCCCTGTGGGAATGTTTGCTCAACGCATTCCAGGAACTACAAGCAAGTCAGTGTGGCTGAAGGAGAGCAACCAAGCAGAGTGGGTAGGAAGCAGGCCACCCGAGCGTGGAGAGGCCTAGCCCTGCAGGGCTCCATGGGCTGTTGCAGGGACTTGGCATTACGTCCTGAGTGGGATGGAAAACACTAGAAGAGTTTTAAGTAGTTACATGATCTAACATAGTGGAGGCTGCATTTTTTTCCTTTTTTTTTTTCAAGACAGGGTCTCACTCTGTCACCCAGGCTGCCATGCAGTAGCATGACCACAGCTCGCTGCAGCCTCAACCTCCGATCTCAGGTGATCCTCCCACCTCAGCCTCCCTGGTAACCGGGACTACAAGTGTCCACCACTACGCCCAGCTAATTTGTTGTATTTTTTGTAGAGATGGGGTTTCACGATGTTGCTCAGGCTCTCAAATTCCTGGGCTCAATCCATCTGCCCTCCCTGGCTTCCCAGTGTGCTGGGGTTTCAGGTGTGAGCCACCGTGCACTGGCCATGCATTTTGTTTTTTCTAGAAACAGTGGAGAAAAGAAAAGATACCAAATAAATAAGAATTAAGAGACATAATTTTTTAAAAGAAAGAGACTGTCCAAAAGGACTCCAAACACTGCTGTGGGTTTCCTACTTTGCATAACAGTAATTCATTTACCTTGTATGAATGAATGCCTTTCCTCAAAAAGTATCATAAACAGTATTCAGGCAATGGTCTTGGAAAGCAGAACTTGCCTCAAGATGACAATAGGAGCCTTGAGCAAAGCAGTACGTCCCAATGAGTCACCAGGGACTTTTCCGTCCTTCTTTGCCAGAGTGAAGGCCATTTCCATCTCCTTTCTCCGAACCCACCTTAAAGATGAGAATGAGCCGGCCGGGCGCAGTGGCTCACGCCTGTAATCCCAGCACTCTGGGAGGCCGAGGCGGGCAGATCACAATGTCAAGAGATCAAGACCATCCTGGCCCACATGGTGAAACCCCATCTCTACTAAAAATACAAAAATTACCTGGGCTTAGCGGCAGGTGCCTGTAGTCCCAGCTACTGGGGAGACTGAGGCAGGAGAATCACTTGAATCTGGGAGGCGGAGGTTGCAGTGAGCCGAGATCGCACCACTGCTCTACAGCCTTGCAACAGAGCAAGACTCTGTCTCAAATAAATAAATAATAAAACATAAGAATGAGTCTGAGGTGTACCCTTGGTTTCTTCTTTCTGTAAGTCCAGAGTCATCCATCCTGTCACGTTTTATTTTTAGCACTAAATTAATTTTTTAAATCTATTAATGAAATTAACAATAGCTAATATTTATTTGGTATCTACCACATGCTTTATAAATATTACTAATTTAAATTGTTATAAGAACCCTTTTCGTCCAACAATCGGGGCATGGAAGATAAAAGAAAAAAAGAACCTTTCAATACCATTATTACCCCCATTTTAGTGTCCAGGACATTGAGATGCGCAAAGGCTGAAAATACTTGCACCCAGTTTTATCTGTGGGTCATAGCAGAGCTGGAATTTAAACCTACTGCTGTCTGAATATAAATCCTGTGTTCTTAGCCAGTAAGCTATACCGCCCCTAACCAACGTGCAGGGCCAGAGTCCAACAGGGATATATAAGCATAGATCCTAGTTGCTTGAATTCAGAGACTAGTTGGAGCCAAGACCAACATAGAGAACCGAAAAGGGAGAGGGTAGCCGTGTACCTGTGGGAGCGGTCAGACCCCAGAAGGAAGGCTTTGGGGAGCAAGTGCAGCAGGGGCCAAGGTGTCAAGGGTTATTCATTGTTAAGTATTCACTGTTGCCATGGGTAGTATGCACATCTGACAACCCTTCAAGCAGTGTGCATGCAGCTGTGTGAACATGTGTGTCTCCACTCAACTTGGGCCAACTAGGAGTAAGACCTTCTTCCATTAGTGAAGAAAGTATATTTAGCTGGGCATGGTGGCTCTCGCCTATAATCCCAGCACTTTGGGAGGCCGAAGTAGGCAGATCACTTGAGGTCAGGAGTTTGAGCCCAGCCTGGCTAACATGGTGAAACCCTGTCTCTACTAAAGATACAAAAATTAGATGAGCGTGGTGACAGGCTTCTGTAGTCTCAGCTACTCAGGAGGCTGAGGTGGGAGAATCACTTGAACCCGGGAAGCAGAGGTTGCAGTGACCTGAGATCACGCCACTGCACTCCAGCCTGGGCAACAGAGTGAGACTGTCTCAAAAAAAAAAAAGAAAGAAAGAAAAAGAAAGTATGTTTGGACACCTAACAGCAACTAAGTTCTCAGCTCAAGAAGTCTGGAGCTTGATGAGGTGAGCCCTTAAGTCGATTTTTCTAGTAGCTTCCGTCTATGGAGCACTCATTCTGATCCAGGCACTCCGCGATGCACTTGCCAAACATGAGTGTAATCTAATCCTCACTGCCTGAGGAGCTGGTTTCTCCATTTTGCAGATGAGCTGAGTAAGGTGACCAAGGTCTTACGGCTTAGAGATGTAAGAGCTGTGACCCTATCCCGGCTGATTCAAAGGCCAGTGTCTTAATCTGATGTGTGCTTCCTAATTTCTAGGCACTCAGACTATACTCAGGGTAGTATAAGCAGTGTATGTGTGCATGTGTGTGTGTGAGAGAGAGAGAAAGAAAGAGAGAGAGAGAGAGAGCTCTAACAGGCACTGGAAATCCAGGCAGAGGGCAGGCCCAGACTTGTCCCCTCTAGCAGTACACACAGAGGAGAGAGGTTTGGGGCTTTAATCCCCATCTGAAGTTCTGCCACTGTTTATAGAACTACCTTGCACAGTCACTCTCAGAACAAAGCTTTTGCTCAAAGAAGCCCACACCCTCAGGCTGGGCAGGTGTGTCTGAGGCTGGGTTTCCTGCCATAGACATCCTGGCCATTTCGGCAGCAGCTGTACCCCAGGACCTCCATGGATGCCTCTCCTGCCTCCCTGCCCTGCTCCACTCATCTGGGCTCACAGGATGGGTTCAGCTCTCTAGGTTCTTCATCCAAGGTCTCATCCCAGCCCTGAATGCTCATGGGAGACCGTCAGCAATGGTGAAACCACCAAGATGCTGAAAAGAGATGCCCTGGTGGGTCCAGGCCTCTCAACCAAAAAGACTCGAAAGCCCTTTCCTTTCGACAGGTTCCTTCTAACCTAGAGGATGATGGCCTCTTACCTTCCAGCCTTGGAATGCATCCAACCATCACTTACTGAGCATCCATAAGTCCTATTTCTTGTTGTTTTTAAAAATAAAAGAAAGAGGCTGGGTGCGGTGGCTCATGCCTGCAATCCCAGTACTTTGGGAGGCCAAAAAGGGAGGATCGGTAGAGGCCACAAGTTTTGAGACCAGCCTGGGCAACATAACAAGATCCTGTTTCTAAAAAATAAAAAGAAAAGAAAAAGCCAAGTGTGGTGATGCCACAGTAGCCAGGAGTAGGCCTGTAGTCCCAGCTACTCAGGAGGCTGAGGTGTGAGGGTCACTTGAATCCAGGACTTCGAGGGTACAGTGAGGTACGTGACTGTATGATCACACCACTGTGCTGTACTCCAGCCTGGGTGACAGAGCAAGACCCAAGACCCAATCTCAAAAAAAAGAGAGAGAGAGAAAGAGAGTATTTATTTCCTCTTAGATGTAAAAGGCTTTGTCTATTCACCTTGGTATGTGACCTTGTTTGCTATGAGTAGGTATCTGAAACTCTTAATTTATTTGAGTCAACTTAAATCAAGCTGATCTGCAAATTTTAGAAGTTTCCTGTGTGTTGTAAAGCACACAAGTATGATCCTCTTTATGTAGAAGGGAATCCACACTCCGGCATTGTATGTATGCATTGGGAGGTATCCTGAAAGATGTTCCCCAAGATGTCATGTGTGGTTTTCTTCAGAGGATGAGATCTTGAGTGGCTTTTTTCTTTTGTCCTTGTTCTCTCCTGCATTGTTCAGGAAAGTGCTAGGCAGAGAAAGATAAGCACCATCACCCCTTTACCCTTTCAAACCTTTCCCACTGGAGCACCTACTGGCACAGACCAGAGTCAATCTGAGTGCCTAACATAACCCAACAAAAAGGCAGGCTTCTTTGAAAGCTTGTGTTCATTCTTAAACGTCATGTAAATGTTGTATTATACTCCACAATATACTGTTTAAGCCTAAAAGTGTTCTTGGTTATTTACCATCAAGCAGAATTAATGCTCCAGGAAAATACTCCAGATTTATCCTGTGGCTCTCTCCATGTCTCCAGTGTAGATTGTCAGGACTTATAGGACTGGGGCCACTCTGAGCAGCAAGGAGGTGATAGTCTGTCCAAATCAGGGTTCCAAAACTTTCGGATTCTCTACTAGTCTCCTCCAGTTGTAGAAAGCTCCCTGGCAAGGGATGCAGAGCTCTTTAAATCTGGAAGTGCTAGTCAGGTAAGCTTGAAATGGGCTTTCTTCAAAAGAGGTATTAGAATTCTTTAACTAGGGGTGCTCAGGAAAACTTGCAAGCTCTAGAAAAATCTGCTGCATTAATAATTCCACTCCAATCCTTGATAAGGTCCTCTAGCTATCTCAAACATGCCTCTGGCCCCTTGGACTAGGGATTTATGCTTGTTGACTTTTTTTCTATTTTCTGGATTTTCAGGACCCAACAAAACTTGTTTGACCAGTCAGGTGAAACTAGTCTTTAAACCTTAATGACCCGGATTAGCCATCTTGAGACCAACAGCTGATATCACTGACAGTGGCCAAGACACAATGCAAGGTGGTGCATGACCTAAGCCCTCGTCAAGCTATGGTCAATGCATGGCCCAGACTTAATGGCCTGTGACTTCAGGAATAGTCGCATGCACTCTATTTTCAGGCGATATGTGTCCCACTTTGGGATTATCTCACAGTTAATACAGATGGAAAAGTCTATTGGGTGCCCATACAAATATTCTGGTCTAGTTTCTAGTTCTCACTTTATATCTGACCACATGATTTAATTACTGAGGTTGAAACAAAGACTGGCCCTAGCCCATTTATACTGGAGAATGACTCGGGCAGGTTCACTTGGACTTTGACACAAATCGCCATTCCATTGGAGTGTGGCTAAAAATGTTTCTGGGCGTCTCAGGACAAGCAAACTCCCTTTAAAGTTGGTTTTATTTCTGGGAAGACTACTAAAACACACATGGCCAATTTTTATTTTTTAATTAAATGAAGACATTTTAAAATTAATAAAATGTACACGAGGGCATCTGATGCTGTTCCTTATGCTTTCCCTCTCTATCTGGCATGTGGTCAAGGTCGTGCTATATAAACTAAAGTAATAGGACCTTTTGTGGGGTGCTGGGTTGTTCAGCCGTCAATGCCAAAGGGCTTTGGCAGCAAGAGAGAGCAGGGACACTAAGCAGAAATATCACAGTCAACTTGCTTTTTTCATTAAGATGGTGATAATAGAAGGATGGAAGTAATACATTGTCAAAAGCACAGAACTGTTGCTCCTCCTCACACACTGGAAATATTATTGATATCTGAAATCACCTGGTTTAAAAAAAAAAAAAAAGAAATGCAGAAAAAAAGTTTTCTTTAAACTGGATTTTTTTAAGGCTAAAAATGTGTTATTTTCTAGAAGTTAATAAATCACTATGTGACTTTGGTTCAGGTTTTCTGGAAGAATCTCTCTTTGGATTGGTATCAGTTAAGAATGCATTTGGCTACGCGTAACAGAAAACATTGCTATAGAAACGGAAAGAACCAGGGCTTGCTTTCTCACACAGGAAAGAAGTGTGGGGGTTGTAGTCAGGGCAGGTCTGGCTGCTCAGTGAGATGTTCTCGGGGACCCAGGTTCTTTTCATCTTTCTACTCCTCACTTATTCTTAACATCGTCAGGCTTTCCATCTCATTTACTGAATGTCATCTGTATATTTTGACATCTGCATTCTAGGAGGAAGAGCAAAGGGTGAAAAGAGAGCTTCCCCTTGGTAAAGCTTAGTCTTTTGACTTAAAAAGTACATGTTCTCCAAGGACCTCTTCCCATATCTCAAGACTGGAACTGTATTAAATGGATTCCATCAGCTGCACAAAGGCTGAGAAAAAGAGCCCTGTGAGCTATGTTGCTACCCCATATAAAATTGGGCTTTCTAAGTAAGGATGCCTGAGGGAGATGGAGATGTTGGGTGAACAATTAGCAGTATCCGTCACAGTGGCTGGGACCTGGTAAGGAATCTTGGTACCTGTATAAAAGTCAGGATCCGGCCGGGTGCGGTGGCTCATGCCTGCCTGTAATCCCAGTGCTTTAGGAGGCCGAGGCAGGCGGATCACCTGAGGTCGGGAGTTCGAGGTCAGCCTTACCAACATGGAGAAACCCCGTCTCTACTAAAAATACAAAATTAGCCGCGCGTGGTGGCACACGCCTGTAATCCCAGCTACTCGGGAGGCTGAGGCAGGAGAATCGCTTGAACCTGGGAAGCGGAGGTTGTGGGGTGAGCAGAGATTGAGCCATTGCACTCCAGCCTGGGCAACAGGAGTGAAACTCTGTCTCAAAAATAAATAAATAAATAAATAAATAGCTGGGCATGGTGGTATAATCCTCGCTACTCAGGAGGCTGAGATGGAAGGCTTGAATGAGTCCCCCCCCAAAAAAAAATGGAAAGAAAAGTCAGAATCCATCCTTCCAAACAATGCAAATGGTTTTCCACTGGGTTTGCAGCCAACCAGTGGCTACAGTAATGTGGCATCTGAACAAGGGCCACCAGGTCCCAAGGTCTGTGATGCCTATGGCCTTGAATGAGGAAAAGAGTAAGATTACAGCTGTATCCTCTTATTCCAACCTAATGGTACTTAATGAAATCATTAGCATGCATTACCAGTAAGGTGGCTCATCCATATGGCTCCTGATAAAATACATACCTTTCATTTATAGCTAAGTAAGGGAAGAGATTCCTTGACTCTGTCATTTACGCTTCTTTCTTCTCATGCTGAATGTTACACAAGGCTACTTAAATTCCCTGTTTCCAATGATTTAAACAATTGACTACACTTCTCAGCACTTCTTCCCGGCTCTCAATCTTGTAAAAAATTCTATTCTCCTGACCAGCTTAAAGACCTCCCTAGAATTATGCCCGGCATTGTTCGCCATGCTCCTATTTGGGAAGTTCTTTGTTCAGGACTCATGGGCTCAGGAGACTTTTGAACAATGTCAATGGGCTGCAGGTAAGGCTCAATATTCACATATTTCAAAGTCAGGACTGGCATCTACAAGCACTACTTTACAGATTATTCAAAGCTCATGATTTGCTTAAAGCTGGTGATTTGATTTTAAATTTATGGAAGATTGCACAGTATGACTTACAAATCTCACTACAGGGATTTATAAATGCTGGGCTACTTTTTTAAAATAATAGCTGTACATAATCAAATTGTATTTGGCCTATGCTTGGTTATGACCTTCGGATCTCATAAAAATGCTCCTCTACATAACCAGTCATTTTCTATCTTGAAACTGGGATATTGTGATTTTTTTATTCTAAGTACACAAAATCCACAGGCAAGAGAAAATACCTATTAAAAGAAGGGGAGATGAAAGTGAATTCCTTCTACCAAAACGAAGTAAACCAGGGAGTTAAGAACAGCTAGCAGGATACAAATGTTCATCTTGTATCCACATTCACCCCCAATTTCTAGTTGCTACTTTTCTTCATTACATAAGAAAGTGGGTCACTCATTCTTGGGGAAGGACAGTCTTTTCCAGAGCAAATGAGAATATTTTCTCAATGAGGTAAATATAAGAGAATGGCATATTTGAAGGGCTCCTCTTCCCTGCCCTTGGGAAAAGGGAACCAGGAATAGTGGCGAAGGCAGGTTTTGAGTCCAGGTAGTCTTGTTCCAGAACCCATGCCCTTGACCACTACCCTATACTGTGGGGTTCTCACCATCCAACATGGAGACCAAAGGGCACCCCTGGGTCTCCCATAGCGGGATGGGGAGGGGCTCTCACACCTGTTCTTGGGAGAAGAGGGAAGGGTTGTTTGAGCTGGGCATCCCGGAGCACCCATGCTGGGACCAAGGCGGGTGGATCCTCCTATCAACGTGTAGAGTCAAAGGGAGAAATAGAAAAACAACCAGAAGACAAAAGTTAAGTGCAAAAGGCCAATCAATGAAATCGCTTTCTCATGTGTGAGCAACAGAGCTATAAAAAGAACTTTAAGCAGCTTTTCAGTCAGATCTTTACAGTCTATCCACCCAAGAAACAGCCTCAAAATTCAACTCTCTACTTTTTATTTAGGGCCAATTTTCATTCAGATGTGTCCTTACTGCACCCCTCTCAGGTCAGAATAATCCCCACCCCGCTATCAGGCAAGTTAGGCTGGACAGCCCAACATATATTCAGAGCTCAAGAAATCTTACTGAAAAAGAAGCTCCATCACCATCCTGTATTTCAGAAGCAGCAATCACATAGCCAGCCAAAGTGAAATTAAGAAATTTGCATGTCATTTATTAATATCCTCCTTGTCTGTCAAGCAGCCTTCAAAAACATGTTTTCCTCCTTTCAAAAGAAGCAAATTGTAATGAGCTCGTTCACACTAAGGATCTCAGGCCAGGCTATGTTTCTCCGCGAGTATGCAGAGGGTAAACTTCCACAAGGGAACAGTGGCCAATTGATACATTGCTTTCTTTATCCTAGTACCCAGAGCATTCTTTCCCACATATGGTGACTTACATCTTGTCTACAAAATGGTCTCCATTCCAGCATAGTCTTTTTTGAAATCAAAAATATTTCAAGTTGCCAGCCTGGGCAACATGGTGAAACACTAACTCTACAAAAAAGATTTTTTAAAAAATTAGCCAGGTATTATGGCATGCTCCTGTGGTCCCAGCTACTCAGGAGGCTGAGGAAGGAGGATTGGTTGAGCCTAGGAAGTTGAGCCATGTCCATGCCACCATACTCCAGCCTGTGCAACACAGCAAGACACTACCTCAAAAACAAAACAAAACAAAGCAAAACAAAAAACTCCAATATACTGTGTGTTAGATTAGGGAATTATTGATTTGTTAGATAGGATGATGATGTTATGGTTCTGAAAGGAAATGTCCTTATGTTTTGGAGACACACAGTGAAGCATTTAGGGATGAAATGTAATGATATTTGTAATTTGCTTTAAAATATGTTAGTAAAATTTTTTAATAGATAAAGTAAATATGGTAAAATGTTAACAGTGGATATAGCCAAGAAATGGGTTAAGTGTCCATTAAACTGTTCTCTCTATAGTGCTGCGTGATGAAACATTTTCGTAACAAAAGATCAAAAACTGCAAGATGGAGCTTCCCTGAAAGCTGCCTGGTTTCCTCATCAGAGCACCTTCCCCCTCTTCTGGCACCCGCAGCCACCTGTAGCCAGGCCTCTCCATTTAAGTTCTGAAGCTTTGAGGGGCTTTCTCTATGTGCCAAGCACCATTCTAAGCACTTTTTATTAATTACATCATTTGCTCTTCACCAAAGCCCTATGCAATAGCTAATGTAGCAACTATTATCCCCATTTCGCTGAGGTGTAAACTGAGACCCAGAGGTGTGAATGTACCCAAGATCACTCAGCTAGTAAGTGTCACAACCAGAATTGCAACCAGGTCATTCGTTACTACGTTAAACCACCCCAGCCCATTCGTCATCTGAGGTCACAGTGCTTCTCTCATAAAGATGTTTGAAGGTGTTGGCCACACTTTACCACCCTACATGATATTGATTACATTCTAGCAGTGCTCTTTCTACATGAGATAAAGGTGGGTTCCTGTTTTTGCTTCCCCTTTTTTGTATTTCTCTCAGAAACAAAGTCAGTGTCTGCTTCTTCACAGATTATTGATTGCTTTGCTATCTAGTGAGATGGGTCAAGGTCTAGGCTGATAGCAATCCTCGAAGCCTTCACCTTTGGCTGAAGATTCCTCTGTCTCTGTTATTCAAGTATGAGTGGTATAGTCCTCACTCAGCAGGTGATAATCCTCCTCAGAGGTGTCCTGAACCCATATCTGATGCCCACCTTGGTTTGTTCCTGCCTGACTGAATCATTACTAGAAACAACAATGAATAATGTGGTGCATGTTTGTATGTGGACTCAAGGAACCTGGCTGAAACCAGCACATCTATCTATCTATCTATCTATCTATCTATCTATCTATCTATCTTCATCTATCTGTCCATCTGTCTGTCTGTCTGTCCATCTGTCTGTCCATCTGTCTATTTCTATATCTGTCAGTCATCTTATCTATCTCTATCTCTATCTCTCTATCTCTTTCTATTGCTCTATCAATCATCTATCTATTGCTATCTTTCTGTATCTATGTTTATCTATCTATCCATTTATCTATCTTTCAATATCTACCTACCCACCTACCTACCTACTGACATGTGTGTAATTTTGATGGTTAGAAGCCAAGAAAAAGCCAGCATCTTTTATTGTGAACGAGTTTATCTAGAGATATAGATTTTTGGAATTCATCTCTACTACCTTATATTAGAAATATACACTTCAGTGGGCCTTTTGGTTGAGCAAAGGTACAGCAAAGATCCAGTTCCAGAATGGGAAGCTTTGAGCTCACTTGATCAAATTGTGGTGCATAATCACATAAAAGGTTGTTCAGGATGGGCACACTCAGTTCTTACTTTTCTACAAATGGGTTTAGATTATACAGTCTCTGAAAATTATGTTCAGCTCTTGGTTGGTATATATTTTTTCCATTTATTTTTCAAGTGCTAGCTCACAGGAGAGGGAGAGCAGAGACTGGGGGGATGGAGGAAGCCCATCATCACTTTAGGCAGGCAAGACTCCCCAGAAAAGACCAGACAAGGGTTGCCAGAGCCCTTTCTGACCATTCTACAAAAGTCCCACAAGGAGCGTTCTCCAAGACTGAATAGCCCAGTTCATTGTGGCCTGAAGGCTGTTCCAAGGGAGGCCGAGGCTCAGGTTGGGCTCTGCAGGTAGCAGGCCAGCCCCCATGGGAGAGCATATTTGCTCTCACTGTACCCCACCTTGGGAAAAGTTCTGTCCTGAACTCAGATGTGGGCACCTAGGCCATGGGTCTTGCGTGGAAGGAGGTAGGCCACTCATTTCCCGGGTCTTGAGGAGTTCAGTTCTGACTCTGGCCAGGAGAGGCATGCTCAAGGATTCTACCAGAGAGGTGAGATGGCTCCGGGAACTCGGCCATAGGTAGGGGCTTAGGAAAGATTTCTAAGGAGGAAATGTCTGTGGAGCTTTATGGCTACTGAAAGAGGGTAAAGCATCATGTGGGCCGGTCTGAGGATCATGTAGGTAGGCACTTCCTGGGCTTCCCAGGGAGCTGCCCTGGCTGAAACACCATTCTTCTTTGGCCACACAACTCGTCTACAGCATTCTGTGTGACCTCACAACCTGAGCAGTCTTGGGAATTTGATGGCACGAGCATGCATATCTAGCCATTCTAAATTCAGTGCTCAGTAGGCCTGGGATGGGGCTTTTTAAACCGCGAGTAGCCTTCAAGTAGTTTAAAAAGCATATTTCTATTGTTTTTCCTTAAGTGCTTCAAATCACTGGTAATCAGAGAAATGCAAATTAAAACAACAACAGATAGGCTTTTTCTTCTATCAGGCTTGCAAAAGCTTCAAAGAATTATAGCTAGTGTTTACACAGGTTGAGTTACTCTTTTTTCCTACCTCAAGTCCTGAACAATACCAGGAAGGAGAAATAGTTCATAGTTACCATTGTCTTTTACATAATAATGTCATCAGCTTCAATGAAGAGAAACATTAACAGGGCTGTGAGCACTTTGGAATGGAAAATCATCCTATGTATATATTTATTAATTAATGCATTCATTCAGGAAATATTTACCGAACATCTAAGCAGCACAGAGAATGAAGAAGGAAAATAAAAGCGCGTCAAATGCTGAGTATGTGTGGGGCACTGAGCCAGACTGTTGGATGAATTATTCTGTGAGTTGGGTTATAAGATCCCCTTTTCACAGATAAAGGGAGGGTAAGTCATTTGCCAAAGGTCACCCAGCTAATGAAAAGTTTGCTGGAGGCTCGGTGAGATGGAACATCCAGGATGTTCCCAGTGCTTCTGGAACTTGCCAGCTGTAGAGGAGACTGAGCAAGCACAGGTAACCCTGACACAGACACTGGGAGCCCAGAACCCTGAGAGATTCAGGCAATGCACACTCCAAAGAGCTAAACAAGAGGGGATTATTCTGGTGCAAGCAGGGCTGTGCTAAAAAGACATCTCTCAGAGAAACATGTGAACAAAACCTTCTGGGATGGGCCACATTATTAAACAGAGGGCAGGGAAGCAAGAGGAGCAGAACGTTCTAGAGGAAGAGGCCTGCTTGGGCAAATCACTAAAGAAGTGTCCAAAGCACACTCAGGAAAAACTGCAGGTGAGGAAACCAATAAACAAACACACCCAACCTCGATCTTCACAGCCCTGCAAAAATTCTCGTGAAACCAAACTGGTTTGACGTTCACAAAGAAGATACACAAAAGACACCTGAGATGGAAGCGCAGCCAACATCCTGTGAATTTCTCCCCAAGACTTGAGCATTTGAGTCATTGGTTGGGAAAGGAGTTTAGGACTAAAGATACAGATTGTAGAATCATTGGCTTTCAGGCAGTTGGGGAAGTTTTGAAGAAGGGAGACTGTGCCGAGTCCAGGGAAGATGGGTAGGACCCTGAATGCTAGTTCCCAAGCATGGCCACGGAACTGGGTTAAGGTAGAGGCATGGAGGAGAAGCTCATTATGTAAAACTGGCTTTTTTTAAAATTATTATTATACTTTAAGTTTTAGGGTACATGTGCACAATATGCAGGTTTGTTACATATGTATACATGTGCCATGTTGGTGTGCTGCACCCATTAACTCATCATTTAACAGGTATATCACCTAATGCTATCCCTCCCCCTCCCCCCACCCCACAACAGCCCCCGGTGTGTGATGTTCCCCTTCCTGTGTCCAAGTGTTCTCATTGTTCAATTCCCACCTATGAGTGAGAACATGCGGTGTTTGGTTTTTTGTCCTTGCGATACTTTGCTGAGAATGATGGTTTCCAGCTTCATCCATGTCCCTACAAAGGACATGAACTCATCATTTTTTATGGCTGCATAGTATTCCATGGTGTATATGTGCCACATTTTCTTAATCCAGTCTATCGTTGTTGGACATTTGGGTTGGTTCCAAGTCTTTGCTATTGTGAATAGTGCCGCAATAAACATACGTGTGCATGTGTCTTTATAGCAGCACGATTTATAATCCTTTGGGTATATACCCAGTAATGGGATGGCTGGCTTTTTTTTTTCTCACCTGCAGCGCATGGCACCCTGCCTTCCAGAGACAAGGTTCCCAACAACTGTGCTGAATGAATGGAGGAAAAATGAACCCAAACCAGGAATACAAATCCTTGTGTGTGAACATAAACCTACTTCCAAAATTCTTGAGGAATCCCTAACTCAAGTCCCCCAAGTCCTGTTTGGTTGTGCACAGAAAGAGATATTACAAGAGGAGCCGTGGGAACCTGAAAAAATGAATGGGGAGTGGCAGTCCCTTCTTATTAATGTGATCAAGACCAATAAATGTATATTGTAATTGTAAATTCTTTCTGGACTCCACATTTCTCCAAAACCTAAGGATGTCTCCAATTATCTCGAGAAAGAAACGTCATAAGATTCTCAAGACTAAAGTAATGTTAATTGATATTCATGCCATGGGAATGGAGAGCGTGCGCTTACTAAGCAGCATCTTGAGGGAAGGCACCATACAAAATCAAACAACCGTTCAGGAATAGTAAATAGCTTCTATTACTGTTGTTTAGGCCACTCAGTCTTGTTATGGCAGCCCTAGTACAAGAATACAATGTACAGCAGTATTAATCATTAGTTGCTGTTGTTGTTTTCAAACAAAAGAGAAGAATAACTTTCTTTTTTGTCGTTTTTTTTGTTTTGTTTTGAGACAGAGTCTCGCTCTGTTTGCCAGGCTGGAGTGCAGTGGCAGGATCTTGGCTCACTGCAACCTCTGCCTCCCTGATTCAAGCAATTCTCCTGCCTCAGCCTCCCAAGTAGCTGGGACTATAGGCGCCTGCCATCGCGCCCAGCTCGTTTTTGTATTTTTAGTAGAGACAGGGCTTCGCCATGTTGGCCAGGCTGGTCTCAAACTCCTGACCTCAGGTGATCCACCTGCCTCGGCCTCCCAAAGTGCTGGGATTACAGGCGTGAGCCACACGCCTGGCCAAGAAGAATAACTTTGAAGTTTAGATATACAATTCAAAATTAGAAAAAATGTTCATGTATGAACTAAAATTTACACTTATGAAACAAAAATATTATACCTCACTATTCACATCCTGTTTTCCTGTTTTAACCTTTAAACACAAAGGAAAACTCCAAGTTGTCAGATAGAACTGGGGTAAATGTTTTGCATAAAGGACCAGACAAGGGTATCCTTTATCTGAAATGTTTTGGACCGGAAGTGTTTTGGATTTTGAATTTTTGGGGATTTTTGGAATATTTGCAATCTATACTGGTTCACCATTCCTAATCTAAAAATCTAAAATTCAAAATGCTCCAATGAGCATTTCTTTTGAGCACCATGTCAGCACTTAAAAAGTTTTGAATTTTGGAGCACTTCAGATTTTGGATTTTCAAATTAGGGGTACTCAACCTGTAATAAATATTTTGGCTTTGCAGGCCATATGATCTCTTGTAAATACTCAATTTTGCTGTTGTAGCAATGTATGAACAAATGGGTATGGCTATGTTCTAATAAAACTTTATTATAGACACTAAATAATAATAATAATAGCTCCTATTGATTAAGTGCTTGCCATGTTCTGAGCAGAGCTAACTGCTTTAACATTTGGTTAAGTGCTGGGCCAAGAGCTCAGAATATGATTAGGAAAATGACACAACCTCTACCTCCTTACTTCCTGTACACTTTCTTGTGTAATCCTCATAACCAACCTATCACTAACCCTATTTTGTAGTTGAGGAGACTAAAGTTATGTAGCCACTCAACATCAGGCATCTAATAAGTGGCAAAAAAAAAAGGATTTGAACTCAGTGTGTCTGATTTTAGAACCTGTTTCCATAACCCCCACACTCTAGGGCTTGGAATTCTATTGACAGCAAAAGCATCTTCCAGTCTCACAGGACTGTGGGGCTGTGGTGCAGTCCTGAAAGGAGCATGCATGTGAGGAACACCACGCGAGAGGCCCATGAAAGGACAGGACAGCCTGGAGTCCCGGGGGAAGCTGCTCCCCAGCACCTGGCATTATGGCCGGTGTCATGGTCCCATGTTGGGTTTGCAAAGGACTCAGAGCCTTGAGCCAAGCGGCAGGAAGCAATTTCAGTCTTTGGCCCAGACCACCAGGCCTCGAAACCTTTCTATCTAATTAAACTTCCATTGCCTTTCATTTCTGCAGCCCTCCTTACAGGAATACTCTCTTTAAAATAAATAAATAAAAGATATGGGAACTGATGGAGTCAACTAAGAATTTCTCTAATTTCCACATCTAACTCCTATGAATAACTCACTTGGAAATGGGCGTGGTCTGTCTAGGCATGATTGTGTTTTGCATAAACTCTTATGCATGAAGTGGCTCTATTTGCAACTAGACAGGATCCAAATTTCAGAAACACTTTAACAACCGACTATAAAGTTTATTAAAAAATAAAAAATAGAAAAGTCATTTCACCTTTTGCCCGCAGTAAAACTCTGGGAATGGACTCTCCTGGCCTCAAAGCTTTCTTTTCTTCTCTGCAGAAGCTGCTGAAGACACCCTCCACAGGCTTAGCCTACCCAGGTTACGGCACCCTGCCTGCTGCACTCAGGGAACTCAAGGTGTTGCCTGTTCAACGTTTGAGCAGAACCAGAGTCATGGCTTACGCTAGCTGTGACTTTGTACCCCAGTTCTGGTCTCTGAGTCCCTGCCTGGGGTATCCATGCAGTACCCAGGCCTGCTGCTTCCTTGTGGGCTAACCTGGGGAGGCTGGCTGCCTGCCACCATCATGCTGCCATGCTCAGAACCTGCTCAGGCTCGTCTCTGGAAAGCTCCTTCACAGCCATTGCCCATCTCCTTTTTTTGTTTGTTTTTTTTCTTGAGACGGAATCTTGCTCTGTCCACCCAGGCTGGAGTGCAATGGCACAATCTTGGCTCACTGCAATCTCCACTTCCCGGATTCAAGCGATTCTCCTGCCTCAGCCTCCTGAGTAGCTGGGATTACAGGCACCTGCCACCACACCCAGCTAATTTTTGTATTTTTTAGTAAAGATGGGGTTTCACGATGTTGGTCAGGCTGGTCTCGAGCTCCTGACCTCAGGTGATCCACCTGCCTCGGCCTCCCAAAGTGCTGGGATTACAGGCGTGAGCCACTGTGCCCTGCTCCCTTTCTCCTTTTACTCAGCTTGTCCCAAACTTCAAGGTACAGAAGAATCACCTGGGGATCTTGTTAAACTGTGGGGTCTGGCTTGGTAGGCCTGGGATGGGGGCTTGAGAATCAGTGTTTCTAACAAAGCACCAGGGTAGGTTTGGGAAATAGTTCGAGTCTATGCAGCGTCAAGGATGATGGCCAAGCAGGTGAGGTAGCCACTGGCCACTACTATTTTTGCCTGCCCAGAACATGTGCTTTTTCCCTATTTTTTTAAGCCCAATAATGGGCACATAGCTCAGTTTGCACCAATCAGAGTCCTGCCCAGAAATGAGGTATGAATGGTGGTGGGAGTGGGGAAGAAGGGGTAAGTGGGAGCAGGCTCTCTTTTCCCTGGGGTTACTAACCTGGGAGGGTTGCTTGTAGCGCATGCAGGAAGTCCATTGTCAGTGATCAAGAATGAGTTGAACCTACAGAGAGAAGTGAAAAGGGTGGAGATGCAAGGACATCATTTGAGCTCCTGCATCCAGTCACACCTGAGGCCAGATGCTCCAGCCTTCCAGTTATACGAGCCCATAAATTTGCTTTTTCACTTAATTTAATTCTTGTCACTTGTAAATAAAAGAGCCCTGAGTTATATAGTGGGTAAGGCAAGTTGGGGTCAAAAAACAAGGTATAGAGTGATAATGGTTCACATGATGATTCTAAAAGTAATTCCTGGCCGGGTGCAGTGGCTCACGCCTGTAATCCCAGCACTTTGGGAGGCCGAGGTGGGCGGATCACTTAAAGTCAGGAGTTGGAGACCAGCCTGGGCGACATGGTAAAACCCTGTCTCTACTAAAAATACAAAAAAATTAGCCAGGCGTGTTGGCGGGCACCTGTAGTCACAGCTACTCAGGAGGCTGAGGCAGGAGAATGGCGTGAGCCCGGGAGGCAGAGCTTGCAGTAAGCCAAGATCATGCCACTGCACTCCAGCCTGGGGGACAGAGCAAGACTCCATCTCAAAACAAACAAAAAAGAACATGATTAAGTATGGAGTCCTAAGGGCCTGACCTCCAAGTGCCACAAAAAGCGAACTTGAGCTCCTTCATCAGGCGATGTTTGCTCATGCCTTTTCCTGATGATACTGAAAAAGTTCGCAGAAGCTCCACATGTCCAACTGCTTTTTCCTGGACGTTTAGTTATACAGGTAAAGCTGAAAGTAAACAGCAGATTTGGACTCAAAATCAGCTCCATAAATGGCCTCATTTCCAGGCACAGCCCTTGATGTCATCTCTGAAAGGTCGTCGTCCCAGCCCTGGAGGGATTTACTGAGGCCCCAGGATCTGAGCTCATGTCCAGATCTGTGAAAAGCAAAGGACATGCATGCAAAATAGATTGAGGCCGCATACGCCCAAGTCGCTGGGGAAGGGACAGGCATGTGGTGAGCAAAGAGGGAAGAGGAGGTTTCCTGCTTCTCTCTGTGACTTCCCTATTTCAGATAACAGCAGCCCCACCCTGCTGGGCACTCAGGTTCAAAATGTCAGAGCCTTGGGACTCTTCTTTCTCCTTTTCATATTCCTCTGCGCTGCATGCAGGAGAGTGATTCTATCCCAGGGCCAACTCTGACAGCCACCTCCTTCTCTCCATTCTCTCTGTTGCTGCTTTTTTCAGGCCTTCATTATTTCCCACCCGAACCACAGTGGCAATGGCCTTGTAGCTATTCTCCTCAAATATATTTTTCATACTTCACCAGGTCCAGTGAAATGTTTTGAGGACTTACTATTGACTCACTCAACCCTGGGGCAGATTGTATTTTCCAAAGATGCCACATATCCCATTTTACATGTTCTCACAATATGACTGACATTCTTGCCATCAAGAGGTGAAGTCCACGTTCCCTCCCCTTGAACTTGGAAGGGCTTGAGACCCAGCAGAAGTGATGCTATGTGACTTCTTCCAAGACTAGGACCTAAAAAGTGGTACTGTTTTTGCCTGGTTTTCTTGGGAAACTTGCCTTCAGGCCATCAGTTGCCATGTAAGTACGAAACCGCCATACTGTATGGAAGCCCAAGCCACATGGAGGTGCCATGTGTGGGTGTTCCTAGTGTGAGGTCCTAACTGACAGCTGGGAATGTGCATGAACGTATCTCTAAATGATTTCTTCCCCCAGTGGGCTGGTCACCGCCACCCGCCCTCCGCCCCCTGTCACTTTTCAGTTCTCCCAGTCGAGGCCATAGACATCATGGAGCTGTGCTTTCCTGACCTACAGAATCTGTCAGCATAATAAAATGGTTGTTTCTGTTTTCTCTGGGTGCAGTGACTCACACCCATAATTTCAGCACTTTAGGAGGCCAAGGCAGGAGGATCGCTTGGACTCAGGAGTTTGAGACCAGCCTGGGCAACATAGTGAGATCCCTGTCTCTGTAAAAAAGCCAAAAAAAAAAAAAATTAGCTGGGCATGGTGGTGCATGCTTGTAGTTCTAGCTACTCAGGAGGCTGAGGTAGGAGAATTGCTTGGGTCCAGGAGGTTGAGGCTACCACGAGCCAGTGAGCCACAATCACAACACTGCACTCCAGCCTCGGCAACAGACTGAGATCCTGTTTCTTAAAAAAAAAAAAAAAAAAAAAAAAAAAAGAAGATTATTTTAAGTTCCTAATTTTGGGGGAAATTTGTTACATAGCCAATAGCCAATAGATAACCGATATTTTATTTTAAAATGCCTTAATGTGTACACAAACCCTCTGTCAATCATCTGGTTACAAATAGCTCCTGCAGGGAGCTATTTACAAAAGAGGTGAGGTTTCCACAGCTATGAGACCCTGAAGAGAGGAGCTGATCCGAGGGTAAGCCAGGCATTTCTATGCATTTTTTTTGTCTTTACTATGTGCCAGGCACGTTACAGACCTTATCACATCCAAATCTTCAACATGATGGCTATGAGGTTAATTATCTTCCTTAATAGTTATAGAAATTGAAGCTCAGAGGGGAAACATAAATTTCCCCAAAGTGGCCAAACAGGAATCCAAACCTGGGGCCTGATGACGCCGGAGCCCTCGCAGCGCCTACCGCGCCTCTGGAAGAGCCGAACCCAAGAAAGAGAGCACAGAGGAGCACTCAGCATCACTTTGCTGCTCTTACCTTTCCCAGCACATGACTGAAATCACTCCTCTATTTGGAATGAAGGAAAAACAAAGCAGTCTGGTCTGGCTAGAGAAAGCCCCCGGCCACAATGTCGAACAAACCGGGAGTAATTTGTCTCTGTTCTTTTCCATGTGACTGCCGGAGGTTATCCTGGTTTTTATTAGTCCAAACTTCCCTTTTCAAAAAATAATTCCTTGAAATCTTCTGGGAAATTAACATGGCTCAATCTGGCTCTGGGCTGGCCACCACATGCTCACAGAATTAGGAGAACCTGAGATTTTAACCCTTCGTAGCCACACACACATACACACAAAACCACATGTGCCTCTATAGCTGTGTTGTTTAACAGGCTGTAAAGAGAATATTCACACTGGGTGAGCGGTTAGGTTCAGCTTTATCCTGGAAAAAATTTCATCTCTTAGATTTGTTCCAATCCAAGAGTTTTACACGGTGTGCAGATTGAGTTACACATCAGTGCACAGCACAGGAATCCTTTATTTAAGAAATATCAGGAACTAATTAATATACAAGGTTAGGTAATTTAAATAACAATTATTTTCAAATATTTTTTAAAGAAAATATATTAAGAATAAGTAATATAAAATTACAGAGCCGGGCAGGAGGGTTCACCTGGTGTAATCCCAGGGCTTTGGGAGGCTGAGGTGGGAGGATTACTTAAGACCAGGAGTTTCTGACCAGCTTGGGAAACATAGTAAGACCCAGTCTCCAAAATAATAAAATAAAATAACTACAATAGCAACTTTAAATTCCAATTCTATTCTGTACTATAGTCAATTACATAAAAAATGTTCTTCATTTTTCTCTTATAATTTTTTTTTTGAGATAAGGTCTCATTCTGTCACCCAGCCTAGAGTACAGTGGCACAGTCATAGCTCACTGCAACCTCAAACTCCTAGACTCAAGCAATCCTCCTGCTTCAGTCCCAGGTAGCTAGAATTACAGGTGTGCATCACCATGTCCAGCTAATTTTTAAATTTTTTGTAGAGATGGGGTCTCACTATGTTGCCCAGACTTGTCTTGAACTCCTGGCCTCAAGCAAACCTCCTGCCTCGCCCTCCCAAAGCGCTGGTATTACAGATGTGAGTCACTGTACCTGGCCCATTTTTCTTTACTTTTATTTTCTATCTAATTGGGAACTTTTGAGATTATTTACAGTGTCATAAGAATTATAAAAAGGTGGCCAGTTGCAGTGGCTCACGCCTGTAATCCCAGCACTTTGGGAGGCTGAGGTGGGCAGAACCCCTGAGCCAAGGAGTTCAAGGCCAGCCTTGGCAACCTGGCAAAACTCTGTTTCTACTAAAAGTACAAAACTTAGCCAGGTGTGGTGGTGCATGCCTGTACTCCCAGCTACTTAGGAGGCTGAGGCAGGAGAATCACTTGAACCTAGGAGGCAGAGGTTGCAGTGAGCCAAGATCGCACAACTGCATTCCAACCTGGGCAACAGAGTGAGATCCCGTGTCAAAAAAAAAAAGAATTATTATCGTTACTGGCCAAGTGTGGTGGCTTACACCTGTATTCCTAGCACTTTGGAAGGCTGAGGCGGCCGGATCACGAGGTCAGAAGATTGAGACCATCCTGGCTAACATGGTGAAACCCTGTCTCTACTAAAAATACAAAAACAAAATTAGCCGGGAGTGGTGGCGGGCACCCACAGTCCCAGCTACTTGGGAGGCTGAAGCGGGAGAATGGCGTGAACCCAGGAGGCGGAGCTTGCAGTGAGCCGAGATTGTGCCACTGCACTCCAGCCTGGGCGACAGAGCGAGACTCCATCTCAAAAAAAAAAAAAAAAAAGGTAACAAAATTTAGGCAGCTAATTTCTTGTTCTTTCAGTATTTCCACATATGTTTCTGGCAATTAAAACATCTTTTTCTGCCAGGGTCAGTGGCTCACATCTGTAATCCCAGCATTTTGGGAGGCTGAGGCAAGAGGGTCACTTTAGCCCAGGAGTTCAACACTAGCCTGGGCAATATAGGGAGATTCCATCTCTACAAAAATAAAAATAAATTAGCAGGGCATGGTGGCACATGCCTGTAGTTCCAGCTACTCAGGAGGCTGGGGCAGGAGGATCATTTGAGCCCAGGAGTTCAGGGGTGCAGTGAGCCCGTGATTGCACCACTGCACTCCAGCCTCTGTGTCAGAGCAAGACCTTGTCTCAAAAAAGAAAAAAAAAATTGTTTTTCTCTGGGAAGTTTGGTGGAGTGGAACAGGGGAGAGAACAAGCCCCCTATCCCTCCACGTCCTCTCCTCCAGCATCGTTCTTACAATGAAGGATGGTCTTTGCAGCTGATATCTTCTTATACTCCCCTGTTCCTTTCCTGGGCAGATGTCCTGGCGATACGGCCAAGGACATCCCTCTGGGAGCTGAGAGTGGAAGTGGGAGCCCTTTATTTTTGCCCAGCGCCGGCATCAAGGCTGTCCTCAGAACTACCTGAAACATAACAGTGCACAATTCACTGGAGGAGGAAGAGTGTGGAGAGCCTCAAAAAGAAGACAGGATCCTGGGGAAGCCAGTGCAGGGACGTCACGCTCTGTCTCACACGCCTTGACTGCAAAGACATAGCACTGATAGGTAAGAAACAAATCAAAAGCAAAATAACTGGGCTCAACATAATTACCTCTGTTATCAAAACAAAAAGTGGTGAAACTAGCATCCTATAGGAAGGGACAGCCTAAAATTTGCATCCTGCAGAGCAGGGGAATTACTAGTGCTCCATATGACAGGGGAAGTGGAATAATTTTCATTGCAGGCAGGGACTCGGATGGGTGATGAAAGAAATCGAAAAAGTAAGCTGCTGACACAATAGCATCTGGGGCTTCAGCTTTGTACGCTGTGGAAAGGAAGCGTTTGTGACAAAGAACCTAAATCAAATGTCGTGTCTGTGGATATGATAGCCCTAATGTTGCTAGGGTAGGTATGTTGGCTAATTTCATGTGTCAACTTGACTGGGCTAAGGGATGCCCAGGTAGCCGGTAACCCATCATTTCAAGGTCTGTCTGTGAGGGTATTTCTGGAAGAGATTAGCACAGGAGTCAGTAGACTGAGTGAGAAGATCTCCCTTACCCATGGGGTGGGCACCATCCCATCCAGTGAAGGCCCAAATAGAACAAAAAGGCAGACGAAGGTGATGGATTGGCTCACACTCTTTGAGCTGGGTCATCCGTTTTCTCTTGCTCTCAAACATCAGAGGTCCTGGTTCTCAAGCCTTTGCACTTTGCACTGAAAGAAAATGACACCACCAGCTTTCCTGGTTCTCCAGTTTGCAGGCAACAGATCACGGGACTCCTTGGCCTTCATAACTGCAGGAGCCAATTCCCACAACAAATCCATGTGAATCTCGTAAGTATCTTACAGGTTCTTTTTCCCTGGAGAACCCTGCCTAATATGGGAGGAGAGCCGTGTAACAGTGGACACGATTCAGGATTAGAGACCTGGATGCAACAACTCAAAGCAGCTGTGAAATCACCGGGAAGGAGAGGGAAATGGGGGGAGTAGGTGAGGTGGAGAGAGAGAAAACAAACACAAACCTCCCACTCACAATCAGAGCACAAACCCAATCCCGAAACATAAAGAAATCTAATGAGAATGAAGTTAAGACCCTGAATGTGAATTGGTTTCTGATTAAATCAATTTTATGGAACAGCCTAGAAAAGATTTTTTTTTAAAAAAAGAATGTTTATAATGCACAAAGATATAAATGAAATAATATCTTTCATTTTAAGACACCAAGAAAATGTGGAGAGGGAAAAAATAAAAGAACGGTTATATATGAATAAGAAACAACTAGAAGGCTTGAAATATAAAAATAGATTCCTTTAAAAATTCAGTATAGGGTCAGGTGAGGTGGCTCACACCTGTAATCCCAGCACTTCGGGAGGCTGAGGTGGGTGGATCACCTGAGGTCAGGAGTTCGAGACCCCTTGACCAACATGGTGAAACCCGTCTCTACTAAAAATACAAAATTAGCCAGGTGTGGTGGTGCAAGCCTGTAATCCCAGCTACTCGGGAGGCTGAGGCTGGAGAATTGCTTAAACTGGGAGGTGGAGGTTGCAGTGAGCCAAGATTGCGCCATTGCATTCCAGCCTGGGCAACAAGAGCAAAACTCCATCTCAAAAAAAAAAAAAAATCAGTATATGAGATCAAGCTAGACTTGACACAATCAAATAAAGAATATGTTAATTAGAAGAGAATACTGAAGAATTCTTGTGGAACACAGCATAGGGAAACAACAAGAAAAAATGAGGCCCAGCACGATGGCTAATGCTTGCAATCCCAGTACTTTGGGAGGCTGAGCCCAGGGTTCAAGACCAGCCTGGGCAACATAGCAAGACTTTGTCTCTTTAAAAAAGAAAAAGAAAAAGAAAATTTAACTATATGTCTGTGTGTTTGTATACATATACATATATCTGATATTGAATATATATACATATACATATACACATACAAGCAGTTAAGAAATACAGAGACTAAATTAAGAAATTCATAGATTCATTTAAAAGAATTCCAAAAATAAGTGAATGTTGGGAATGACAGAGAAGTAATATTTGTAAATGCTAATAATTAATGATTTTCCATAATTGAAGAAAGACATGAAATTCTAGAGAAAGGTGTTCTCAGCTCTCTAGTATAAATCCACAGCTGGATTCATCATAGTGAAACTATATACAACTACACAGGTAAAGAAAAAATCTTATAAGCTATAAGAGAGAAGTGATGAATTATTTGCAATGAAATAACAATTAGGTATTTGACAAACTTTATATCATCCTCAGTGGAAGTCAAAAGAGAATGGAATAATAGCTTCAAAATGCTGAGGAGAAATAACCATCAACCTGGAATTTTATACGGAGTTAAACTAACATTTAACAGTGAGAGTGATATAAAAATGTTCACAGATATGCAAAGATTAAGGTTGCTTCCACCCAAACAGACTCTCACTGTAAGATGTCCTTTAGCAAGGTGGGGGGAAAAAACAATTAAACCCAAAGAGAAATTGTGGTATGGAAGGGGAAAAAAATGATGAGTATGAAAGTTGATAGAATATCAATTATAATTAACTATGGAGAGTACAAATACAAATACAATATAACTTTTATTTCAAAAGCAAAGCTAAAGCTGTTTACACTCATAGCAAAAAGGAGGTAGGTGTGATTATGATCAATGGGTGTTTGAAGAATTCCAAACCAATGAGGGACAAAGGTGAAATGGGGAGTCTTCAGGCAGGGATGATCGGGAGAGGAGAATCAATGTCCCAAAAAGAATCAGAAGGGGAAAAAGTAGCCAAACAGATACTTGAAGAAAAACATTGGAAATGATAAGTCACAATATATCACACATATGAAACCTAATTAAATTCAACAAAAAGCAAAGATTATCAGATTAGAATTTTACAGCTATATATAAAAGATTCAATCTGTCAGGAAGATGTAATAATTCTAAATTTGTACATAGCTTATAACATAGACCAAAAATATATGAAGCAAAAACTGACTTAACCAAAGGAGAAACAGTCAAATCCAAAATCACAGGGAGAGATATTATATTAACACACCTCTCTCAGTAGCTAATAAAGAAGACCTAAATACTTGGTAATAATATAAAAAAATTGAAAAATATGATTCACACACTTGCACTGATTCACACATTTAGAACACTGTACTTGAGAACTAAATAATAGTCATTCTTTTCAAGTACACCTGTACCCTTTATAATACTGACCACACAGCAAGTCTTAGCAACTTTGAAAATATCAAAATCATATAGAGTATATTATCCTACTACAGCAAAATTAAACTAGAAATCAATCACATAAAAGCTAGAAAATCCCTACATATATTTGGAAATTAAGTAATACACTGCTATATTATTTAAGAGTCAAAGAAGAAATCACAACAAAAATGAGAAAGTATTTAGAAATTATGATAAATATTACATACCAAAACTTAGGGAAGTCTGCTAAAGTGATGCTTAAAGGAAAAATTTTAGTTTTAAATGCATATGATTAGAAAAGAAGAAAGACTGAAAATCAGTGTTTCAAGCATCTGTCTCAAGAAGTTGGTGGGGTGGAAATGGCAAATTAAACAAAAGAAAGTAAAATGAACAAAATGAAAATATAAAACTAGAAGTTAATAAAATAGAAAGCAAACATATTAATATAAGAGAGAATCAGCAAAGCCAAATGCTGGTTATTGGAAAAGGCTAATGAAATTAATAAATCCATAGTAAGACTAATCAAGAGAAAAAGAGAGAAGGGAAAATTAAAAATACTAGAAATGAAAAGGGAGACATAACTCTATATCCTCATATATTAAAAAGATAATAGGATGATATTATGAGCAACTTTATAACAATTAACTAGAAAATTAGATTAAATGACCACTTTTTTAGAAATCACTTACTAAATGGACACAAAAAGAGAGACAATCTAGTCTTACAGCTATTAAAGTGAATCTTATATAAAAGACCTTCCCATGCCTGGCTGGGCGTAGTGGCTCACCCCTATAATCCCAGCACTTTGGGAGGCAGAGGCGGGCGGATCACAAGGTCAGGAGTTTGAGACCAGCCTGGCCAACATAGTGAAACCCTGTCTCTACTAAAAATACAAAAAATTAGCTGGGCATGGTGGTGGGCGCCTGTAATCCCACCTACTCGGGAGGCTGAGGCAGGAGAATCACTTGAACCCAGGAGGTAGAGGTTACAGTGAACAGAGATCACACCACTGCACTCCAGCCCAGGTGACAGTGAGAGACTCCATCTCAAAAAAAAAAAAAATCTTCCCATGCCTTCGGGAGTAAATTCTTTACAATATTTAAGGAAATAAATAGTACGAATCTTACACAACTATTCGAGAGAATGGAAAAGGAGAGAATACTTCCCAACTCACTGTTTGAGAGTGAACAAGTTCATTTCCAAGAAGAAAATTATAGGGTCAACTCTCCCATAAATACAAAAGAAAGAAAAAGAGAAAGGGAGAAGGAAGAGAGGGAGGAGGGAGGAAAGAAGGAAGGGAGAAATAAAGGGGAAAAGGAGGAAGGAAAGGGGGGAGGGAGGAAGGAAATACCGGAGGGAGGGAGGAAAGAAGGAAGGGAGGCAGGAAAGAAGGAAGGGAGATAGGCAAAGTCAAACCAATCGACATCAATAAAATATAATAAGGATAGAACATCATGTCATCCATAGGGGGGTTTATTCTGAGAATGCAAAGTTGGTTTAATATTCACACATATGAAATAGGAATGTATCAGAGTTTGATTTCCTGCCTTCAATGAATTCCTGCCATAGACTGTCTCTGTTCTTAGTAAATATAAAGTGAAGTACTTAGGGGTAAAAGGACATACTATCTCCAATTTAGTCTAAAATGGTACCAAAAATAAACAACATGCTCATATATATGTGTGTAAAGAAAGAACGATAAAGCAAATGAGGCAAAAAGTAAACAACTGGTAAATCTGGGTAAAGGGTTGTAAGAGTTTCTTGTACAAATCTTCAATTTTTACATGTTTTAAATGATAACCAAAATTAAAAATTATCCAAAAAAAGTGTAATTCACCTTGTAGACAAAAAAGAAGAGAAAAATCATATGATCATTTCGAAATGCAGAGGATAATTTGATGAAATTCAACATTCATTCATGACATAAATGCTTGGCAACCTAGAAGTAGAGGGACACTACTAAAACTGATGAAGGGCATCTATATAAAACCTACAGGAGACATCATATTTAATGGGAAAATGTTGAAACTTTTTCTCTGAGGCAAGGAGTGAGATAATCATGCTACTGCCACAAGTTATATTCAACAGGACCTCCAGCAAAATACAAACCTGCCCTAGAGAAACAAACAAAATGCCTCCTCACTGCAGGCTTCTTACTCACCCACCAAAAAAAGATGGAACTAAACTTAGGTGGTCTTTGCTAATCTGACATTAGATGGGCCATTACCTCTCTCCAAGGATGAAGTGGGTGAAGGGAAGGAAGTGTGCTTGGGGAAACTCCTTCCGGATAGAAACCAAGATCAAAGAGCAAGGTTCTCCTCTAACAATGTTCAAGGCTCTTTGAAGAAAGTTACAAAATATTATCAAAAGGCATAAAAGAAATCCTGAATAAATGGAGGATTAGACCGCATTCATGAATGAGAAGACTACATATCATAAAGATGCCGATTCTTTAGAAACTCTCCACAGTTCTCTAAATCTGATGAGTTCAGATAAAACTTGACGTGCTGATCCAAGAAAAAAAAAATGTATATGGGAGAACAAATGCCAAAAATAGCTAAAGTCCATTTTGAAGGCAAAGAACAAGGAGCCAGTCATAGTGGCTCACACCTGTAATCCCAGCACTTTGGGAGACTGAGACAGGAGGATTCCTTGAGCCCAGGAGCTTGAGACCAACCTGGGCAACATAGCAAGACCCCATCTCAAAAAAAAATTATCAATGAAACTTTAAAAGAAAGGAAACAACCTAAAATATAGAAATAACTCTCAAAATTCACCATAAAAGGACAGATAATCCAAGTAAATAATGGGAAATACTTGAACAGGCATTTCACAGAAGAAGACCTACAGATGGCATGTGAGCATGTGAAGGGACTTTAGGCTTCCCCACCTATGAGGGAAAGGCATGTTGGAACCACAATGGGATATTTCTGCACACCTATAAGAGTGACTTATAAAATATGGTGGCAACCCACATGTTGACGAGGCTGTGGAGAAACTGGCTCACTCATACCCTGCTGATGCACACCAGCTCTTGGCATTTCCCACCCTGTTTTTGCCATCCCCACGTGTTAAGGGGGTATCTCGTTGCCATTTTGTACATTTCCCCGATGACTGGTGAGGTTTGGCATCTCTTGTGTCAAGGCCCATTTTGCTTTCTTCTTTGGTAAAATGTCTTCCATTCATTTTCTTGTTGGGTCATCCATCTCTTTCTTCTTCATTTGTAGGATTTTTGCTTGTTTTTACTAAATACTAGATGAGTCCATATCTTCTCCCACTCTGTGAGTTGCCTTTTTCATCTTTTGTGTGTGTTTTTTAAAAACAACCAAAAAGGGTATTCTCACAAGCTTGTACATGCAGAGAATATCTCTAGAAGGACAGGCAAGAAACTGGTACTGGGGGCTGCTACTGAGGAGGGAAGTGAAGTGCCGGGGGAAGGAGGTGTGGGAGATACACTTTTCTCTGTGTCCTTTTGCATACTTTTTTTGCAAATCATCATGTGCAAAGGCATGTGTTTTGAACTTTGAGACAACGGAAAGGCACCAGATAGCCATCATGAAGTAGGTGCTAACTTTTCCTCTAATTGTATTTCACAATAGTTGCAGTGGCAAGGAAAAGGCTAAGTGTCCCTGTCCTAGCCAGTACCTTTCATGATTGAGCCTGTGCCCTCTGGTCCTCTAAGTTCAGGAAATGCATCCCCTGGCATTCTAACTGTGGGGCAGCACAGTGTAGCATGGTAGCAATGAGAGCAGCTTCTGCAGCCAGACTACCTTGATTGTCACCCAGCTCCTCCACCATCTCTTGTATGACCTCAGCAGAGTCACCTGGCCTTTCTATGCCTCTGCTAAGGAACACGGCAATTCCTACTGTGGTCGATGTCCCCTGATGGTCCCCGCCTCTGTGACTGAGGCGATGGGACCCCACTTCCAAGATGAGGTGACAACGGACTGTGGCTTCCATCCTAGCACACCTTCTCTTGCTGACTTGCTGTGAAGAGAGTGAGGTCCCATGTTGCAAGCTGCCCAGTGGAGAGGCCCACGTAGCAAGGAACTAATGTCTCCAGCCAGCAGCCAGTAAGGAACTGAATCCTGCCAACTAATCCTGCTAACAGCCAGTGAGTAAGCTGCGAAGTGGATCCTCCCCCAACCCAGCCTTAAGATGGCTCCATCCCAGGATCATCTTTGATTGCAGCCTGGCAAGAGACCCTGAGCCAGAGGGACCCAGCTCAGCCAGGCCCAGATTCCTGAGCCACAGAGCCCTTGAGATAATCAATTGTTGTTTTAAACCTACAGAAACAACAAAAAGAAATAGAAAGACTAGGCAATGTCTCTCCTGAAAAATTTATCATTCACCTGTCCAGAGCAAGGGGTCAGACAGACCAATGGATTATACAGAACCCCTTCCAGTGAGGGAACCCTATGAAGTTCTCAAAATAAGACAGTAAATCCTTGCTGTTTAAACAAAGTGCTCAAGGCAACTGGTGATTTGGTGAATTTAATTTCCTGGTTAACTGGATGAATCTTTCTGATGGGATCTTAGAGCTTCGTTGTACCTCACAGATCATTACACACATAAGGAAGCTGAAGCTGAGAATCATTACCTTCTGCAAGTCGTGAGGCTTTCTCATGGCAAACCCTCGCGCAGTGCCTGCCACACAGTAGAAGCTCAATAAATAACTGTTCAAAGGAGGAAGGAAGGGAGAACAGGTGGCAGGGAGAAAGGAAGGGATTCTTTGCCTCTTTATTGGTGAAACTTCTTAAATTCTTGGCTGCAGTGCAAGGAAAGCTTGGACTCCCAGTCAGGAGACTTGAATTCAAGTCCCAGCTCCACACTTAGATGTGTAGCCTGGGCGACCCCTTGACCTCCCACTTCCCACTTTACACCTTACCTGCCCAGGTGTAAAACAGGAAAAAAATGATACTTCCCATGTGGTATACAGATTTTGCTCTCCTTATTTCTAAATTGTGTTGTCCACTGCATTATCTTAAAAAGCAAACTATAAAAACATCCGGGCCGGGTGCAGTGGCTCATGCCAGTAATCCCAGCACTTTAGGAGGCCAAAGGGAGCAAATTGCTTGAGCCCAGGAGTTCAAGACCAGCCCAGGCAACATGGTGAAACCCTGTCTCTACAAAAAATGAGCCAGGCTTGAGGAATGTGCCTGTAGTCCCAGCTACTCAGGAGGCTGAGATGGGAGGATCGATTGAGCCCTGGAGTTCGAGGCTGCAGTGAACCAAGATTGCACCACTGCACTCCAGCTGGGGCAACAGAGCAAAACCTTGTTTCAAAAAATGAAAAAGAAAAGGGAAAAAAAAAGAAAATATCCCCCCAGCACACAGGAGAGGGTTGCTATTTGGGAGAGCGAAATCCATTTTCATCTTCACCTCACACTGACACAAATTTTAAGTGAATTTCAAAGTCCTGTGTAAATTACAGTACATGTACACTGTATAATATTACACAGTTAAGAAGAATAAGGCAAAGCTATGTGCACTGGCATGGAAAGATCTCCAAAACTAGTGTCCTGTGAAGAAAACCAAGCTGTTGAATGATATGTACTGTATACATGTCTATTTTCCTATATAAAAATAAATGCCACATACATGTGCACGCACACACACACACACACACACACACACGCCTCAAATTGAGAGAAACTCTGAAGAATTCACCCATCAATTGTTAACAGTAGTTGTCTCTGGGAAAGGTAGTGCAATTGTGTGTGAATGTGGTATTTTCATTTCTCATGAAAACTCACACACACGTTTCTTGAATTTTTTAATGTGTACGAATTAATTTCAAATTTTAAAAACAAAATATGTTAAAGTTAAACGTAAATAATAAAACCATTAAAAGTTGTACATAAATACCTGATCTCCTCCACATGAGAAAGAAAAAATTTTGTAAGCATAAAAACAATGCGAAAAAAATTATGAAAGAAAATATTTCTATTTTCAGGCACAAGTGGTTCACGCATGTAATCCCAGCACTTTGGGAGGCACTTGAGGTCAGGACTTTGAGACCAGCCTGGCCAACATGGAGAAACACTGTCTCTACTAAAAATACAAAACTTAGCTTGGTGTGGTGGCGGGTGCCTGCAGTTCCATCTATTTGGGAGGCTGAGGCAGGAGAATCACTTGAATCTGGGAGGCAGAGGTTGCAGTGGGCCAAGATCGTGCCACTGCACTCCAGCCTGGGTGACAGAGCGAGACTCTGTCTCAGAAAAAGAAAATATTTCTAGAATTAATTACATTAAATGCTCTGATGTCAAAAAATAAAGAAAATTTAAAAGTAAAGAAAAACGCTTAGCCTGGTGTGGTGGTGTGCACTTGTAGTCCCAGCTACTTAGGAGCGTGAGGTGGGAGGATCGCTTGAGCCCAGGAGGTTAAGGCTGCAGTGAGCCATGTTTGTGCCACTGCATTCCAGTGTGGGCAACAGAGAAAGACCTCATCTCTACTAAAAATCAAAAGCATTAGCTGGTCATGTTGGTGTGCGCCTGTGCTCCCAGCTACCTGGGAGGCTGAGACAGAAAGGGCACCTGAGCCCAGGAGTTCAAGGCTGCGGTGAGCTGTGATTGCACCACAACACTCCAGCCTGGGTAGCAGAGTGAGGTCCTCTCTCAAAAAGAAAAAAAAGAAAACCAGTTAACAAAAACTGGAAAATAATTTAGCACCAAATATGACAAGGAGGCAAATCCTTTCTATTATAAAGGATTACAATGAAAAAAGAAAAAAAAAAAAGCAAGCCCTGCCCCTTCAGCCCCAGATTCTGGTGTGTAGCACACATTGGAAATGATCACCCATGCCCTAATTTTACCGACTAGAAAACGGACATGAAGCTGGCGAGTCACATGCCCCAAGTAAACAAGCTGCACACCCTGAGCTCGCCTGTCCCAGCAAGGCCTCCTGAGAGGGGACGGGGGACACCAGCCGCTTTCCACCCACCCCTCCATCACCTCCCCTGAAATCCTCACACCCTGCGTCTTCCCTGGATCTTGGCAGAACCCAAATTCCTATCCTGTTTGAAATTCTTTCTGCTATTTCAGATTTCTCTTTGGGGATGAATTGAGGTCTGCCTCCGAAAACGAGAAGTCCAGGTATGGAAAAAAAGTCTCTAGAATTTGCCACACACTGGGCGGCCTCTGGATCCGTGGGAAGCTCAGTCCTTCTTACATTTTTATCTCAAATGATTTCACTACCCTTCCAGCCTCGCAGGGAGAACCCGTGGCGTGTCGCCGGCTGCTCTCTCTTCCTCTACCTGGAAGGGGCATCGGGGGTTGCCCGGTTCAGCCCCAGAAGGAAAGTGAAACTGACAGGAGAGAAACAGCCTCTCCAAAGTCACATGGACACGAGCCATCATTCCCAACCAACCAAAGGACAGGGCGTCAGCCCGAAGACCCTGTGTTCATCCCAGAACGGCTACATTGGACATGAATTTTGAGAATCAGTCTCTGAGGTTCTAGATGGTGCTTTTGTTTCCATCAGTGACTTTCCTGTGCCCACCCAGAGCGGAAAACAGGGATTCTATGAAGAAGTAGGAGCTCTCTCCCCAGGCCCCACACACAGCCTGGCAACCCTGCCTCCCATGGGCACCGCTACTCCTGCCCCAGCACTGACTGGGCATGGGAGGACTCCTAAACCACCACCACCACCTCTCCTAATGTCATGGGCAAGAAGGGGGGAATTCCTGCACCTAATAACTCAAATCTGGTAGCCAAGCTGATTTGGGACAGGGATAGACAGTTATTGTTAAAGAGAATATTAGATTAAAGTGTACAATTAAAAGATCTTGTCAGCCATGTGCGGTGGCTCACGCCTGTAATCCCAACACTTTGGGAGGTTGAGGTGGGTGGATCACTTGAGGTTAGGAGTTTGAGACCAGCCTGGCCAACATGGTGAAACCCTGTCTTTACTAAAAGTACAGAAATTTAGCAGGGCGTGGTGGTGCACACCTGTAATCCCAGCTACTCAGGAGGGTGAGGCAGGAGAATTGCCTGAACCCTGGAGGCAGGGTTGCAGTGAGCCGAGATCACACCACTGCACTCCAGCCTGGGCGACAGGGCAAGACTCCATCAAAAAAAAAAAAAATACTAATCATCCCTTCAAGCACTTACTTTAACATTCAACAAACATCAGGCTCCTAGCAAGTGTATGGGAATTAAGTGTGGACAGATTATTAGTATGCCATCCTTGCCTCTCGAACAGGTGATGACTTGTAAGAATGAACTCTTCAGTGTGGGGCAGGGGACGGAGCATGCATTAGAGTCAGACAGAACTAGATAGAGTTCTAGACAGAGCTCTGCTGCTTCCTAGAATAAGACTTGAGCACATTATCTAATCTCTCAGTATTTATCTATAAAGTTGGCATAATAATGAAAATCTCCCCCAGATCTTGCAAGGATTCAGTAACGTAGTACCGTGCTTGGCACAGCATAGTGTTGGGTACATATTAGACAGTTAAGATTCCAGCCTCCAATCCTCCTCCTTCAGTTTCTTCATCTCTAAAGTTTGCTATTGTGTTGGCTTTACCTACCTATAGCTATGAACTGAATGTGTGTATGTCCCCAAAATTCATATGTTGAAGCCTTACTCTCCAATGTGACAGTATTTGGAGGTGGGGCCTTTGGGGGATGATCAGGTCATAAGGGTGGGGCCCTGATGAATGGAATTAGTGCCCTTATGAGAACAGACACAAGAGCACTCTCTCACTCTCTCTGCCACATGAAGATACAGTGAGAAAAAGCCACCTGCCAACCAGGAAGGGGACCCTCGCCAGACTCTGGATCGGCCTGCTCCTTGATCTTAGACTTCCCAGCCTCCCACCTTCAGAACTCAGGAATAAAATGTTGTTGCTCAAACCACCCAGCCAAGCCAAGCCAAGACACTATCTCACAAACCCAGACTTCCTGACACATAAACCCAAGAGCACCACACAGATACATTTCCTCATAAGGACTGTCAAGTCTCTGATTGAAAAAATTAAGAATTCTATTTAAGGTGGGTGGATAGACTGGGAATGTGAAAGGACTCTACAAAAATGAATGATACATCTTTGCTTAGATCTGGAATATGCTGGAAAATACTAAGTCACAGACCAAGTCCTCCTTTGCAATGTCAGCAAACTTTGACCCAAGGGCCGAATTTGTTTCCCCTCCTGCCTATTTTTCTCTTACACTGGAACACAGCCATGCTCATTCATGTACGTATTCTCTACAGCTGCTTGTACGCTAAAACCCCAAAAGTGAATAGTTGTAACTGAGCCTGTATGGCCTGCAAAGCCTAAAGTATTGACTATCTGGCCCTTTCCAGAAAAGTTTTCAACCCCTGATCTATTGGAATACATTTGAGTCTTCTATCGTAAGTGTCCATAAATCTGAGGCTGAATGCTGGAAATTGAACTATTTAGCTCTAGAGCCAGTTAAGGTTTACAAGGCCCAGTGGTTGGAAATTGAGACCAAATGAATCTGAAGGTGAGAACCAAGAGGTTTCCGCCTCATCACTGTGTAGTTCTGAAGCGAACTGTAGATCAAAAGAAGGCTTGAAAAGAAAAAAGCAACAAAATAAAAATGAGTTTTTTAAATGCTAGGCAGCAAAATGGAATTGAAACAGGACTAACCTGAGAGTTAGCCAGCTGTGCCGTAGTGCCTGGTCTGCCACCAATGAGGTGTGCGATGGGGGCAATTGCTTCACTTCCCAGGGGCTGTTACATGATTTGTAAAATGAAAGGCTCACTCATTCACCAAACATTTCTTGAACTCCTCCTAGGGGGAGCTTGCTGTCTTAGACACGAACGTCTGGACCCGCTAATCTCTAAGATGCCTTTCCAGCTTTAGAGCTCAATTTAAAGTGTTGGGTGATACCGGAGCTTTGTGGAGTGGCTATGCGAGGTGCCTGGAGTTAACATTCACACAGTGCTTTTGGTTCTGCGGCATTTTAATGATATTCACCATGGTAGTAATTTATCGCCATCTCTTCTTTCCAAATAGATAGCGTATTAGTGTAAGTCCAGTCCATCAAGCAAGCTTCTTCCATCTGCGAGGGAGGAGGCAGCCCCCGGACAGCTGTGGTTGGGACCTTCACCTTGAATTATGTAACAGTAGCAGGGGATGGGCAGATTGGCCTTCTGAATTATGCTTCCTTAGACTGGCATTTACATGAGTTCGCGGACCCTAAACACTCACCAGCAGACACAGCGAGGATGGCTTTATCCCTGGAGTAATTAATCCATGTAGCAAAGGGATCTCCAAGGTGCTGCCAACAGTCTTGGGATAATTGAGACCTTACAGCAAATAAATCCCCCAGAATCACGACCGCTTTCACCATCCCAAAGCCCCAAAGTGAGAACCACCTTCCAAAAACTCAGAATCCAAAGCCTGTTAATCCCCTTTTGTGGCAAGCCCATCCTCCTGGCCTGCCTGCCCTGCTCTCCTCCCCCATAATACCCATTCAGGGCAGTGACCCCAGTTGGCAACCCGGAGCCGCGTGGGCTGTGGTCAAACGACACCCAGATGAAAACTGCAGCTGATGGCCTGGCCTTTCGGGTCAGTAGCTGCTGTGCACAGCTCTCTCCCTGCCTCCTGAAGTTCAAATGCCAGCCTGATTTCTATCTGGAAGCATCCCAGCCCAAACATGGAACAAAAGTTCCCTCTGACAAGCCCATTTGGGTTCCAAAGTATGTTTTTATGTTTGTTGGCAAATAGAACTGTCACCAGCAACAATAACAACACTGTTTTCCCTCCACTGAAGCTACTTCATTTCTTCACATTTGTTCCAGGGCTGGAACTGGACAGATGAATAATGTAGGCTAGGCGGCTGGCCCAAGTCCTGACCTCGTGCCTCCAAAAGCAAACACAGAGGTGAAAATGGAGACTTGTTTGTTTGAACTCTCACTGCCTAATTTAAAAAAGAAAAGGCAAAAAGAAAAACAAACCTCCCACCATCCTATTTCATCAATGTAGACACTGATGGGTTTTGTTTTGTTTTGTTTTGTTTTTCTTTTCTTTTCTTTTCTTTTTTTTTTTTTTTTTTTTCCATGTCTTACTTTTTGAAACATGGAACTACAGCCCTCTACTGGTGCAAGGAATGAAGCCAATTTCTCAATCATCGAGGCTACCCTGCCATCTTGTGGCCATGTGAGGGATGCACACGTGTAGATCAATTTCTCAGCATCACAAAACAGTCTAGGTAAGACGTTGGAAGGGTTCTTCAAAATATTCACATGGACTTTCATTTAAGACATTTCTTGTATCGTTTGGGGAAAACATCAATGGGATTTGGAGTCAGAATGTTGGTTCCTGCGTTTAAGCTCTGTCAGTGATTTGTGACATCATCCCTGAGCAAATAATTTCATTTTTAGGAACCTGTTTTCTCATCTGTAAAATGGAGGTCATAATAAATGTTTGATTCTTGGAGTTTTGTAGTGTTTACATAAGATCATGCATATGAAGAGTGCCTTGTCCACTTTAAAATCATATGCACATGAATATATTAAAAATCCCTAGAGAAGTAGTTTCTATCATCATACTTGGTAAAACTTTAGAAACTTGAAATCGGTTTCAATGACTAACCTTACTATAGTCTAAAGCCCTGGCCTCAGAATAAAGAGAAGGACTTTACACTGTCTCATGCTTTCCTAAAGATACATACTGCCAAGTCCTCTCCGTTTTCATTTTTCTGATTTAAGTCAAGTCAGTTTCTTCGGCCTTGCTTCACGGGGCCAGCCAATGAATAATGAGGAGTGTAGATGCGTCTTGGGAGGTGAAATAACTTTGCTTACATGGAATCGCAAAGTGCTCATTAGTGTGGGGGCTTAGGTATTTGGCTCCCTCGTCTTTTGGAAAAAGCCCAAACCAGACACAGCAGCTAAAGGAGCCCTCATAGGATGTCTGTGCTGCACGATGCTGACGCAAGATGACTCATCACACACTAGCTGGGTTTGGCCACTGCTTCTGTGCAGCTGTTTGCAGAAAGCCAAAAATTTCTGGTGCCAAGCTGGGGGCTTGGTGAACAAACCCAAATGTTACTGTCCTCATCTCCTGCTAAATTTCAGTCCTGCTCGGGCCGTGGCCCAACCAGTGTTAAGTCTACTGATGAAAGTCCAAGTCACTGTCCTCTGTGCCCTCTCGTTACTGTGTCCTCAGGTTACTGAATTTATCATTCATCTCACTGATGCATAAGGTAGGCTTAGGGTACATTTGGCAGCAGGATCAATAGTTTTGCAAAGAGAAAATAGATGCCAGCCAAAGGAACATCGAATCCTTGGGCGAATGATGAGGACGGATGACTCATGTCCAGGCCATCTTCCCTCCGGGCTGGGCTCCGCTGTCTCCATACTCACCTTCTGTCTCCAAGTTTGGTTCACTAGGCCCATCCTCAGGAAGCCTCCCTTAGGATCCAGGATGAGTCACCAGCACCCCAAGTGTGCTCGCTGGTGAGGATTATAGGAGGGGGAGGTAGGCTGTGTCTACAGGAGATCCTGGGGCACATCTGGGGGATGGAGGTGAAAGGTTATCCCTCTGTCCTACAGAATGAGGGTCCCCCTTCAATCCCCTAGAGGTGACATGCCAGAACGCCTGAATCAGAGAAGGCACTCATTCCTCCCACCTAACTCTTTTTATTTTTTTTAATACTGAGTCTTGCTCTGTCACTCAGGCTGGAGGGCAGTGGTGGGCTCCCAGATCACTGCAACCTCCGCCTCTCAGGTTCAAGTGATTCTCCTGCCTCAGCCTCCCGAGTAGCTGGGATTATAAGTGCACACCACCATGCCCAGCTAACTTTTGTATTTTTGGTAGAGATGGGGTTTCATCATGTTGGCCAGGCTGGTCTCGAACTCCTGACCTCAAGCAATCCACCTGTCTTGGCCTCCCAAAGTGCTGGGATTACAGGCGTGAGCCATTGCACCCGGCCTCTTCCACCAAACTCTTACAGGGTTATCCCAGAATCTTCCAGAGACACCACCCTGTGGATGCAACCTGGGGCTTTCTTCTCCACAGGCCATGTCTGAAAATAGGAGGTTCTTCCTCTCTTCCACACTGGGAGAGAGATAGCAGTCAGGGAGAGAGAGCAGACGGGGAGAGAGATAGCAGTCAGGGAGAGATAGCAGTCAGGGAGAGATAGCAGTCAGGGAGAGAGATAGCAGTCAGGGAGAGAGAGCAGACAGGGAGAGAGATAGCAGTCAGGGAGAGAGATAGCAGTCAGAGAGAGAGAGAGCAGACAGAGAGAGATAGCAGACAGGGAGAGATAGCAGACAGGGAGAGATAGTCAGAGATAGATAGCAGATGGGGAGAGATAGCAGTCGGGGAGACATAGCAGTCAGGGAGAGAGATAGCAGTCCGACAGAGATAACAGACAGGGAGAGATAGCAGTCGGGGAGAGATAGCAGTCAGGGAGAGATAGCAGTGAGGGAGAGATAGCAGTGAGGGAGAGATAGCAGTCAGAGAGAGAGATAGCAGTGAGGGAGAGAGATAGCAGTGAGGGAGAGATAGCAGACAGAGAGAGAGATAGCAGTGAGGGAGAGAGATAGCAGTGAGGGAGAGAGATAGCAGTCAGGGAGAGATAGCAGTGAGGGAGAGAGATAGCAGACAGAGAGAGAGATAGCAGTGAGGGAGAGAGATAGCAGACAAAGAGAGAGATAGCAGTGAGGGAGAGAGATAGCAGACAGAGAGAGAGATAGCAGTGAGGGAGAGACAGCAGTGAGGGAGAGAGATAGCAGTGAGGGAGAGAGATAGCAGACAGAGAGATAGCAGTGAGGGAGAGATAGCAGTGAGGGAGAGAGATAGCAGTGAGGGAGAGAGATAGCAGTGAGGGAGAGTGATAGCAGTGAGGGAGAGAGATAGCAGTGAGGGAGAGAGATAGCAGTGAGGGAGAGAGATAACAGTGAGGGAGAGATAGCAGTGAGGGAGAAATAGCAGTCAGGGAGAGATAGCAGTGAGGGAGAGAGATAGCAGTGAGGGAGAGAGATAGCAGTGAGGGAGAGAGATAACAGTGAGGGAGAGATAGCAGTGAGGGAGAAATAGCAGTCAGGGAGAGATAGCAGTGAGGGAGAGAGATAGCAGTGAGGGAGAGAGATAGCAGTGAGGGAGAGAGATAGCAGTGAGGGAGAGAGATAGCAGTCAGGAAGAGATAGCAGTCAGAGAGAGAGATAGCAGTCAGGGAGAGATAGCAGTCAGGGAGAGATAGCAGTGAGGGAGAGAGATAGCAGTGAGGGAGAGAGCAGTGAGGGAGAGATAGCAGGCAAAGAGAGAGATAGCAGTGAGGGAGAGATAGCAGGCAAAGAGAGAGATAGCAGTCAGGGAGAAAGAGAGCAGTCAGAGAGAGATAGCAGTCAGGGAGAGAGAGAGCAGTGAGGGAGAGATAGCAGGCAAAGAGAGAGATAGCAGTCAGAGAGAGAGATAGCAGTCAGAGAGAGATAGCAGTAAGGGAGAGACAGCAGACAGAGAGGGATAGCAGACAGAGAGAGAGATAGCAGTGAGGGAGAGAGAGCAGTCTGGGTTTTCCTTCAGGAAGGTGCGAGAAGGTGAGGTTTTCTTTAGAGGTTTTTCATGTTCTTTTTAAACACTTAACATGAGCCAAATGAGAGTGGGAATTAAAGGTATGATGGCCAAATCTGACCTGAAGCACCCACTGTCTAACAAGAGCGGAACTGGTGATGGCCACAATAATACTGCAGACATCTCTTGGAGTTTTCTGTAATACATGGAAAAACACCAGCCTTGGAAACTCAGACATCTGGGTTTGAGTGCCAGCCACGAGGCTAAAAGATTCCAGAAGGCCAGAGGGGGAGAGTGTCAGAGTCCACTGCTAGACTGACTGGATGTCTTCACATACAGGACTGGCAAACGGACACTTGTAAGTTTGGAAAATTTGACAGCAAAACAACAGAGAAGGGGGCACTGCCAGCTTTAAATACAATCCAATGAATTAATTTATTTGGAGAAATAATCTCATTTTAGGATATTCTTTTTTATTTATTTAGGATAAACCTATTAATAAAACGGGTAATATGTTACCTGTCCTCTAAATCTGATCTCACAAAAGTGTGAGAAGGAGCAGGGGTCAGGGGATTAGGGGGAAGGGGTGGAGTTTAGGCAGAGACTAGAGTCTCTTCAGACTTTCAGTTTTCTAGATCATATATAAATCACTTTTTTAAAACTTTTATTTTAGGTTCAGGGTTACATGTGCAGGTCTGTTTGTTTATTTTTGAGATGCAGTCTCACCCTGTTGCCCAGGCTAGAGTGCAGTGGCGTGATCTTGGCTCACTGCAACCCGCACCTCTCGGGTTCAAGCGAATCTCCTGCCTCAGCCTCCCAAGTAGCTGGGACTACAGGTGCGTGACACCACTCCCGGCTAATTTTTATATTTCTAGTAGAGACGGGGCTTCACCATGTTGGCCAGGCTGGTCTCAAACTCCTGACCTCAGGTGATCTGTCTGCTTCAGCCTTCCAAAGTGCTGGGATTACAGGCATGAGCCACCAGGCCCGGCTGTGCAGGTTTGTTACGCAGGTAAACTGTGTGCACTGGGGTTTGGTGTACAGATAATTTTGGCACCCTGGTAGTAAGCCCAGTACCCAACAGATGCTTTTTCTGCTCCTCTCCCTCCTCCCACCCTCCACTCTCAAGGGGGCCCCCGTGTGTGTTGTCCCCCTCCTAGTATCCATGTTTTCTCATTGTTTAGCTCCCATTTATAAGTGAGAACGTGTGGTATTTGGTTTTCTGTTCCTGTGTTAGTTTGCTTAGGCTAATGGCCTCTAGCTCTATCCATGTTGCTGCAAAGGCCATGATCTCATTCATTTTTATGACTGCATAGTATTCCATGTTGTATATGTACCACATTTTCTTAATCCAGTCTGCCGTTGATAGGCATTTCGATTGACTCCATGTCTTCACTATTCTGAATAGTGCTGCGATGAACATATGTGTGCGTGTGTCTTTATGATAGAATGATTTATCTTTGGGTGTGTACACAATAATGGGATTACCGGATTGAATGGTAATTCCATTTTTAATTCTTTGGCAAATCACCACACTGCTTTCCACAATGACTGAACTAATTTACACTCCCACCGGTAATGTATAAGCATTCCCTTATCTCTACAACCTCACCAGCATCTATTATTTTTTTAACTTTTTAATTATAGCCATTTTGACTCCTGTGAGATGGTATCTCACTATGGTTTTGATTTGCATTTCTCTAATGATTAGGAATGTGGAGCATTTTTTCATATGATTGTTGGCCACATGGAGGTCTTCTTTTTAAAAGTGTCTGCTCATGTCCTTTGCCCATTTTTTAATGAAGTTGTTTGTTTTTTGCTTGTAAATGTAAGTTCCTTACAGATTCTGGATATTAGACCTCTGCTGAATGCATAGTTTGCAAATATTTGCTTCCATTCTGTAGGCTGTCCATTTACTCTGTTGATAGTTTCTTTCATTATGCAGAAACTCTTTAGTTTAATTATATCCCATTTGTCAATTTTTGTTGTTACTGATATGGCTCGGCTCTGTGTCCTTACCCAAATCTCACCTTGAATTGTAATAATCCCCATGTGTCAAATGGGGATTATTTGGACCAGGTGGAAATAAGTGAATCATGGGTGTGGTTTCCCCAAGCTTTTCTCATGAGAGTCAGTGAGATCTCACAGGATCTGATGGTTTTCTAAGCGTCTGGCATTTCCCCTACTGGCACTCATTCTCTCTCCTGCTGCTCTATGAAGAGGTGCCTTCTGCCATGATTGTAAGTTTCCTGAGGCCTCCCCAGCCCTGTGGAACTATGAGTCAATTAAACCTCTTTTCTTTATATTTAAATTATCTAGTCTCGGGTATTTCTTCATAGCCGCGTGAGAATGAGCTAATACAGTTACAATCGCTTTTGATGTCTTTGTCATGAAATCTTTGCCAAGTTCTATGTCCAGAATGGTATTTCTGAGGTGATCTTCCAAGGTTTTTATAGTTTCAGGTTTTACATTTAAGCCTTTAATCCGTCTTGAGTTGATTTTTGTACATGGTGTGAGGTTGGGGTCTAGTTTCAGTCTTCTGCATATGGCTAGCTAGTTCTCCCAGCACAAGGAGAGTGCTGGGAGAACAAGGAGTCCTTTCCTGATTCCTTGTTTTTTTCAGCTTTGCTGAAGATCGGATGGTTGTAGGTGTGCAGCATTATTTCTATAAATCCCTTTCTAATGAACAATTCTCAGGTTGTTAATAGGTAAATGTAACTCCTGGGCCCAGCCCCTAGGGCTAAGTTGGCTGTTCACATTAAAATGGTGATCCTGGAGTCTGGCAATGTTAACAATTAAACAACTGTGCTCAATCCTATAGTCCCAACCCTTTGGGAGATGGAGGCCAGCCTAGAAAACATAGCGAAGCCTCATCTCTACAGAAATAAAAAAAATAGCTGGGGCTGGGCACGGTGGCTCACGCCTGTAGTCCCAGCACTTTGGGAGGCCGAGGCAGGCAGATCACCTGAGGTTGGGAGTTCGAGACCAGCCTGGCCAACATGGAGAAACCCCATTTCTACTAAAAATACAAAATTAGCTGGGCATGGTGGGGCGTGCCTGTAATCCCAGCTACTTAGGAGGCTGAGGCAGGAGGATTGCTTGAACCTGGGAGGCGGAGGTTGTGGTGAGCAGACATCATGCCATTGCACTCCGACCTGGGCAACAAGAGCGAAACTCCATCTCAAAAATAAATAAATAAATACATAAATAAATAGCTGGGCATGGTGGTATACTCCTCGCTACTCAGGAGGCTGAGATGGAAGGCTTGAATGAGTCCAAGGTAACAGTGGGCTATGATTGCTCCCCTGCCCTCCAGCCTGGGCAACAGAGCAAGACACTGTCTCTAAAACAATAACATCAAAACGAATGGTGCTGTTATTTCTCTTCTTATCCACACATCTCTCATCCTTGGTTTTAAACATTTTTCAATGTCTCGTATTCATATTGTTAGACCTAGTAATTCTCCTGCTATGCTATAATCTCTCCTAAGTGTGAGAATTAACGTAACCGCTGGCATCCGAATTTTTTGCTGAGAAAAAGATGCTATAGTCAATGATTGGGTAGGAAATGAGCCCTACGCTTAAGAGTCTGCTTGTCAAGCGGCCTTGCCACTGCCCAGGATGCGGTCACCGCTCTGCATTACTCAGGAGAAGGACCAGAGAGTGGAGAGTAGAAATGGGAAGGAGGAAGAGGATCACTAAGTGGCACCATCTCTGGACCCCCAAAATCTTCAGCAGTGTCTTCTAAACACAGTACTGCTTCTTGTGAGTGATTTCCTGTTGTGAAATCCAAAGAAGGAGCTCCGTTTTATGGCAGGATCGACATGGTCTAGGAGCAGAAGGCAGCCCTGAGCAGGCCACGCCCCCATCAATTGGCAGAAAGCTTCAGGATGACTGTGGCTTCCACCAGAATTGGAGCTTCTGAGACAATGTCACCTGGAATGTCATGATCTCAACTGACATCTGGGTTTCTCGGAGATTCGCCCAGGATTTGGTGTACAAGGGTGTTTATCACAGAATGACATATAACATTGAACAATTGGAAACCTAAAGGTACAACAGTGATCCGGCTACATGAATTAAGGGTGAGCTAAATGAGGAAATAATATGCAGCCGTTAAAAATTATGTTTTCAAAGAACATTTAATGACTTGGGTAAAACCTTCTGCTATAAGGTCAAGGAAAGACAAAAAATTCAGAATATTACTGTTGGTATTAGTTCTTTTTTTTTTATAAGTGCCCTTTTCTTGACTTAAAAATAAGACTAAAATTTTAACATAGATGACCCCAGAGTTTGTGGGATTATAAGAGTTTGTGACTTTTTTTTTCTTCTCTGTGATTTCCAAATGCTCCATAATGAGTGGAGTAATTTTAAAATCAAGGAAAATAAACATGACTTTTAAAGAGTGGGAGTGCAGTTTGTTTGTGTTCTTTGGTTCACTTGGCAGAGACTCAGGAGAGATGAGCAAGAAGGATGTTGCCCTTAAGTAATGTTTGGTCGTGATTTGTTTACACTGTACCTGTTTAGATAGAGACAACAATTGCTTAGCAGAGATGAGAAAAGATATTATCTTTAGGGGATCAGCAGTGTTTTCAGGGAAAAAAGAAAGAAAGGAAAATCAGAGGGAAGAGATAGGAAACAGAGGGAAAAATATGTTTAGGCTTTTTATAAAAATGGACTTAGAACTATCCAGTGATTGGCCGGGTGTGGTGGCTCACGCCTGTAACCCCAGCACTTTGGGAGGCCCAGGCGGGTGGATCACGAGGTCAGGAGATTGAGACCATCCTGACTAACACGGTGAAACCCATCTCTACTAAAAATACAAAAAATTAGCCGGGTGTGGTGGTGGGCGCCTGTAGTCCCAGCTACTCGGTAGGTTGAGGCAGGAGAATGGCATGAACCCGGGAGGCGGAGCTTGCAGTGAGCCGAGATTGCCCCACTGCACTCCACCCATCCTGGGCAACAGAGCGAGACTCCGTCTTAAACAAAAAAAAAAAAAAAAAAAACAACTATCCAACTATCCAGTGATTTCTTTATTTCTTTTTCTTTTTTTTTTTTAAAAGATGAAGTCTCGCTCTGTCACGACACAGGCTGGGCGTGGTGGCAGGTGCCTGTAATCCCAGCTACTCAGGAAGCTGAGGCAGGAGAATTGCTTGAGCCCGATCTCGACTCACTACAACCTCTGCCTCCTGGGTTCAAGTGATTATCTCACCTCAGCCTCCTGAGTAGCTGGGATTACAGGCGCCCGCCACCACACCTGACTAATTTTTGTGTTTTTCACCATGTTGACCAGGCTGGTCTCAAACTCCTGACCTCAGGTGATCTGCCCACCTCGGCCTCCCAAAGTGCTGGGATTACAGGCGTGAGCCACCGCGCCTGACCAATTTCTATTTCACCTTTTTGTGTTTCTAGTTCTCTTTTACCAAGTCAAAGAAGTGGAAGTTGGATTATCCATGTTTTGGCAATCATGCTGGAAAGAATTTACATGTGTGTGCACACACAGAGTGAGGCAAACCCTACTCTCTGTGTCTCCCACGAATTAACTGGTATAAGTAAGGACCTTGACCCCCACACCTGCCAAGCCCCACAGAATTGAGGAAACCTTGATCATGGAGCACAGCAGAGTGGAATGTGATGTTTTTCAAATCTCCCTGCTACCAGGCTCAGAGTTGCATGAGGCCGGACCTGACATATGATGATCCCCAAAATAGTTGAGGAATAAATTATATCAGACAGGGCTGGGCATGGTGGCTCGCGCCTGTAATCCCAGCACTTTGGGAGGCTGAGGCGGGAGGATCACCTGAGGTCAGGAGTTTGAGACCAGCATAGCCAACATGGTGAAACCCTGTCTCTACTAAGAATACAAAAATTAGCCGGGGGTGGTGATGGGCACCTGTAATCCCAGCTACTTGGGAGGCTGAAGCGAGATAATCACTTGAACCCGGGAGGTGGAGGTTGCAGTGAGCTGAGATTGCGCCATTGCACTCCAGCCTGGGCAACAAGCGTGAAACTCCTTCTCAAAAAAAAAAAAAAAATTATATCAGACACTCTGGGTCAGCCAGAAAATGCATCCAGCCCAGTGCCCCATCCCAAACTCTGGTGCCACAAAGACATAGCTGATCTTCTTGATATTGACCACCAAAGAATAGGATCACACTCCCAAGACATCCCACAACTAATTCTGGAGACCATGGTGTGACTTGGAATCAAGGACAAGTTACGCTGCTTCTGCCCGTGCAACCCTGGCCAAGCACGTCACCTCACCAGGCCCCACCTTCACAAGCATAGCTCAGGACTCAGGGATTTTCAAGGTAGTTTCGAGCACTAATAGTCTATGATTCTTTGCCTGTAAACTTTACATGCGAGAGATTGTGTGCGTGTGTGTGTCTATGTACGTGTGTGCATGCGTGCGTAATGCTTATTTGCCCAAATGGAAGATAACTTAGTGCATAGATGACAATTTCAATGATATTTAACCCTAAGGGAAAAATGAAAATAAACACCATTTGTTGAGCATCTCTTGAGTCTCTGGGACTATTCTTGGTGTTTGTGCCATGTTACCTCGTTTAATTCTTACAATAACCCTAATTATTCTATAATGTTTTTACACAGCGTGCAGTTTTGGACACTGAAGCTCGGATGTGAAATATCTAGTTCATCCAGACATTAAGAGCCACAGATAAGAAACAGTACCCAGACTAAGCCCAAAATGGCAGATCCCCAGTTCAGTATGGTTGGGGACCCCCTCACCTAAGGAAGGTCCTTTGGTGCTGAGGGGTGAGGTTAGGTGCCACCTGGACCTAGTTGTTGTGACCATTCTAGACACCAATGCAGCTCTCACCATTTCTGCCACCCGGCTTGCCCCCACAGCTCCTGACGATGCCCCCAGTGTTGTGGGCATGCCAAGGGGGCCTCGGTGTTGGAGAAGGAGTGATCACAGCCCTGTGGGCTCCCCAGAAGATGACTTTGTTTTGCTTGTGAAATGTGTGCCCCTGGACTGCAGGGGAACTCACCGAAAGTCACATTTGAGGACTACGTGAATCCCTTTCTCACCACGTCTGCCTGTTCCAGGACCCACACTCACCTTCCGACTCAGAGGCAGCCCTCTGCTTCCTCAAGGGAGGTAAACCTTTCACCTCCCACCCCAAGGGGCTTGGAAAGACCTTGTGACCCAGCCAACATTTTAATTATTACACTAAATGCCATTTCTAAGAATATGCTTCTGGCATAGGAGCAGAATACAGGCAAGAACCCGAAAAAGACCAGAGCTCCATTCCCTTGGTCTAGCCACCATGCTAGACCAATGCCACTTTAAGCTCAGTGTATTTGGAAGAAAGCAAATCCCCAAAGGGTGACATATGCTTAGCCATTTAGGGAGGCTGAGTTATATTGAAAACTAGGAAACCACTGGTAGTTCAACTTTGCTATTTATCTCAACCCCCACAGAATTGACACAACCTTGACCGTGGTGCACAGCAGACTCTAATGCAAGACTTCGAGCAAGCCACCAGCACTCTTTGGGCCTGAGTTCCCACGTCTATAAAAGAAAGGAATTGGGTAAGAGGATCTTTCCTACCTATTCCATTTTTTAAAATAGGTAGGGTCTCATTCTGTTGCCCAGGCTGGATGGCAGTGGCACAGTCATAGCTCACTGCAGCCTCTAACTCCTGGGCTCAAGCAATCCTCCCCGCTCAGCCTCCCTCAGTAGCTGGGACTACAGTTGCACACCACCACACATGGCTAGTTCTTAAAAAATTATTTTTTGTGGAGATGGGGGGGGGTCTTCCTATGCTGCCCAGGCTGGTCTCGAACTCCTGGCCTCAAGTGATCCACCCATCTTGGTTTCCCAAAGTGCTGGGATTACAGGCGTGAGCCACTGCACCCAGCCCTTCTTCTATATTAAAAGTCCATGATTTCCCCAGACTGTCAGCTTTCACAGGGTGCCTCTTAATTCTAGAGACTGTATCTCATTGAGCAACTCCGCGTTCACCTTTCATGACTTTTCTGAGTTTACTTCCTCCTGGCATTACCAAGCGCTAGCCTCCTTCTGTCGAGGTGTGTGGTTCAATGACTGCTGCAGAGACTGCGAACAGAGCCAGATGCCAGCCCCCGTCTTCCAAGAGGCCCCGTCTCGCCTGACACAGACAGGGGCTGCCTGCTGACCTCTCCCCACAGTTGCCACCATGTTGCAGCCCTCCCTGGCAACCTTCCCCAACGACTCACAGGTGTTGCCTGCCACCAGCTCTCAGACACCGCCTGAAGCGTCAGCTGGCCCCGGCGCCTTTGCCATTGGGAATACTGGCACCAGCGCTGCAGAGTGCCTGGAGCTGTTGTACCCTGGGGCCTTCAAAGGCGCCTTGCACAGACGAGTTCCCACGGGGTGGATGGTCTCACCCCATTTCACAGATGGGGAACCGTGACCACAGGGCCTCCTCGTCTTCCAAGAAGGAACAAAAGCAAGGTGTCAGCCAGGGCAGAAATAAAAGCTCCAGCACTCTCCCGAAGGAAGGCAAGCACTCATCATCAGTCATGCATCTTTTTACCTTTTGAAACTTTGTCGGATTTATATATAGCCTCCATCTTGTCCCTCTGAACTCGGCAGGGCTCGTAATCAGTCACTGGGCTGAACACCTGGAACTCTGTGGGGATTATCATTAGAAGGATGCGAGGCCAGGTGTGGTTTTGGACCAGAGACCTATTGGAAAAGGGAGGATTTCTCACTTTCCAAGTTTACTCTGCTCAAGTTAAAACAATTAACCTCCTTTCCCCTTCAAACAACTGTTCTCCACAGCTTTCTACCAGCAATCTTCAACCCAAAGACATAATGTCAAAAGTGGACTCTCTCCCTCTCAGAACGTTCCGGTGAAAAGGCAGATCAGACCTGCCCTTGGGGCTTCTTTCTGCCATTGTCGCCTTCTCTTCCCCACTAACTTCACCCCCTCCTTCTAGACGCCGGGGCCTCCAGAGAGCAGCATTTTCTCTAATGCTGGGGTCATGGAGCGATTGTAGCAACAATGGGTTTTGCACAATTGGGCCCCCATTGCTCACCTTGCAAGAGTTTGCCAGGCTGGCCAGCAGGAAGGGAAGGGCAAGTGGTAAGGACATCCCCACTTGGGGTCTTAGTTCTCTTGACGATGTAGCTGTCGGCACAGTCCCTTCTTGGGCTGTAACCTCTCCCAGACACACATGTGCACTCACAAACACACACACACACACACTCAAAAATTCTTGGTGACATGAGTATTTTCAGGGAATCACATAGCTCTTCTTACATAATACTATAGCAAGCATGAATTGAGTCCTTATTCCATTCTGGGCAATGTGCTAGGTGATTTTCACACACTAATGGCTTCATTAAATCCTCACAATAATCCTGTGAGGAAATATGTGGCATGAATTTGAAGCCCAAGAATTGAATGAAATAACCCAGATCACACAGCTAGTGAGTGGCAACGCCAGGGCTTGGACCCAGTCTTATCTGACAGATGAGCTTGCTAGCTGTTGTCGGAGATCCTCCCTGTGACTTAGCAGGTCAACAATAGCTGTCAAGGCACTTCAGATCTGTATGAGGCAGCCCTAGCCACCTCTTGGCACCTAGGTGCCCGAGAGGGAAGCTGGCACTCACCCATCTCACGTACGCTGGCTTTTCCTAAGGTTACACGGAGGGACGGTGATGGCCTGCCACCCTCTGAAAACACTGTCCCATGCAGGGTTTCAGATGATGAGAAACAACTGGTCACAGAAAATTAGCTGATCATCTTGCAGACTTTATCTAACCCAGTGGTTTTCAAACCTAGCTGTACATGAGACAACTGGAGAGATTTGTTTTAAATCCTGAAGACCAGGCTGTACCAGGCTGTTTATTTCCCCTCTGCATTCATACGTTGACACCATCATCCTCAGTGGAAAGGTATTTGGAGGTGGGGCCTTTGGGAGGTCATGAGGTCACAGGGGTGGAGTTCTCATGATGGGATTAGTGCCGTTATAAGAAGAGACAGAGGAGAACTTGTCTCCTCTCCCTCTGCTCCCTGCCACGTGCTCTCCCGCAGGAAGACGGCTGTCTGTAAACCAAGAGGAGAGCCCTCAGCAGAAACCAACCATGCTGACACTCTGGTCTTGGACTTCCAGCCCCTAGAACTATGGGAGATATGTTTCTGTTGTTAAGCCATCCTTTCTATGGTATTTTTGTTATAGCAGTGCAGACTGAAAAAGACTTACCCCGTGCCAATTAACATGTAGTTGGAACCCAACCATCAGAATTTTTTTATTTTGTTTTGTTTTAGACAGAGTCTTGCTCTGTCACCAGGCTGGAGTGCAGTGGCACAATCTCGGCTCACTGCAACCTCTGCCTCCCGGGTTCAAGCAATTCTCCTGCCTCAGCTGCCTGAGTAGCTGGGACTACAGGTGCCCACCACCACACCCAGCTAATTTTTGTATTTTGGGTAGAAACGGGGTTTCACCATGTTGGCCAGGCTGGTCTCAATCTCTTGACCTCATGATCCACCCGCCTCAGCCTCCCAAAGTGCTGGGATTACAGGCGTGAGCCACTGTGCCTGGCCCTGTCAGAATTTTAAGATAATATTTTATATTTTCAAATGATCACAGATTTACAAAAAAAGTTGCAGGTACAATACAAAAAACTTCTCCTGAACCAATCAAGAGTGATTCGCCAAGCTAATCCATCATCTTCCTTGCACGTTCTAGTGTCTGTTTTCTACAAACAAGGATGTTCTCCTATACAGCCTCAATATAAGCAGCAAAATCAGTAAATTAACATTGTTACATCTCTACTAACTAACCCTCAGATTCCATCCACGTTTCCCCAGCTGTCCTAATAACATTCTTTATAGCAAAAGGGTACAGTCCAGAATCTCGAGTTGCAGTTATTGATCAGGTGCCGTTAATCTCTTTCATTTTATTTTATTTTTTAGAGATAGTGTCTTGCTCTGTTGCCCAGGCTGGAGTGCAGTGGCACAATCACGGCTCACTGCAGCCTCTAACTCTTGGGATCAAATGATCCTCCCTCCTCAGTCTCCCGAGTTGCTGGGTTTACAGACACACACTACCACACTTGGCTAATTTGTTTTTTAATTTTTGTAAAGACAGGGTCTCACTTTGTTTCCCAGGCTGGTCCTGAACTCCTGACCTCAGGCTATCCTCCTGCCTTGGCCTCCCTAAGTGTTGGGATTATAGGCGTGAGTCACTGCACCTGGCCCTTTTAGTCACTTTCATTTGGGGAGAGTTCTTCAGTCTTTCCTTGACTTTCATGACCTTGACACACTTGAAGATTATTTTGCAGGATGTTCCTCAATTTGGGTTTGTCTAACATTTCCTCACAGGGAGATTTTGTTTACTCCTCTTTTGGCAAGAATATCACAGAAATGATGTTATGCTCTCATTGCATCCAACAGGGTGGCTAACAATTTTCATTTGTCCCATGATTGCTAAAATTCACTTTGATCACTTGATTAAGATGATGTGTGCCAGGCTTCTCCACTGTAAAGTTGCCCCTTTTCCTTTGTAAATGAATTAGTATTTTGTGGTGAAAGATAAAAGGTGGGTTGTGTGTGGGAAGACTGACCAGCTGTTGGTTATTTTTAACATCATTATTCCAAAGGGTAGGTGATTCCAAACTACAATCAATTTTGAGAACCACTGGCCTAGCTCCTTCCTTTGGGGGCCCCCATGACATGAGTTAATTATAATAAGAGCTAACATTTATTAGCTAACATTTATGGAGCCCTTAGCTTTATATGCATCATTGCCATCATTATAGCCACTTCCAGTTATTACGCATTTATTCAACAAATTCTTACTGAGCACCTACTATGGGCCAAACACTGTTCCATGATCAAGAAAGACACAAACTCCCTTTTCTTGTGGAACTTACACTCCAGTGGAATGCCATGTACCAAACACCATGCTAATTACTTTCTATTCACAGTAATGATGACAATAACAATAATAATAATAGTGATTTACTTTTACTGAGCACATACTATGAACCAGACCCTTAGCTCACCCTTACAACAACTCTATGAGGCAGGTACTTTTATTATATACTTACAAACTACTCTTCAAATTAGGGGGGGAAAAGGCTATAAGACTCATAGAAATGTAGTTCACACCACATTTGATACAGTAATGACGTTCTCTTCAGTCCCAGCAAAGATGGCTACAGACACTCAGGTTTTGAAAAATCCTACTGAATTAACAAAATACCACCTTACACATATCAAGCTGGCAAAAATTAGAAAGTTGGACAATATCAAGTGGTGGCAAAGACATGGGGAAATGTGAACCTTTGAGCATTGTTGGTTGAAATATTAGCTGGTGAAGCCATTTGGAAGAGAATTTTCTATAGGTATTCCCCAGGACCCAGGGAAACCATGCTTGGTATATATCCTGGAGAAATTGTCACACAAGGTCACAAAGAGATATACACAAAAGGATCACACAGAGCTGTATATACTGCAGAGTTGGAGGTAATCTAGGGGCCATACTAGGAAAACGGACAAGCAAAATAAGCTATATACATTTGGCTAAATGCTTTGTGATAGAAGAAATCACTTAGACTGTACACACATGTATAAATCTCAAAACTATAAATGTTAAGACAAAAATGTAAGAAACAGAATATTTTTAGCATAATAACATGTATAAGACTTTTTAAACAATATACAGCTGTGCACAGTGGCTCATGCCTGTCATCCCAGCACTTTGATCTCAGGAGTTTGAGACCAGCCTGAACAACATAGCTAAACCCTGTCTTTACCAAAAGTACAAAAAATTAGCTATGCATGGTGGCATGTGCCTATGGTCCCAAGCTACTCAGGAGGCTGCGGTGGGAGGATCACTTGAGCCTGGGAGGTCCAGGCTGCAGTGAACATTGATCAGTTGTACCACTGCACTCCAGTCTGGGCAACAGAATGAGACTCTGTCTCAAAAAAAAAAAAAAAAGCACATATGTATACCTATACAAAAATACTGTATATTATGGAGGATATATACATATATCTGTGTGGTGGGAGGTGGATTGGAGGGAGATGCACGCATTAAGTATATAAGTCTGGGTATGCCTGGGAACCGGAAGGACAATGGGATTGGAGCTGGGATACAAAGGGTGACATAACAATTTACTTGACAATAGAAGAGGAGCCTTGTGGGGACAACGATAATAGCATGCTATGAATTAATAATTGCGATCAATTTGATTCTGTGCCTGGGAGAAGAATAAAGAGGGGGAGGCAGTGCATGAAAGTATGTGGGGAAAGGCTACATGAACACCCTGGAAAGAGCTTCTTTACACTCAACTCTCTCCTAACCTATGCCCATGGAGAGACTGAGGTCTCTGGGACAGAGTCTTGCCTTTTTACAATCCTCCCTCCTCAGCCTCCCGAGTAACTAGGACTATAGGCAAGCCACCATGCTCAGATTACATATATGTAATTGGAGATGGGGTCTTGCCATGTTACCCGGGCTGATCTCAAACTCCTGGCCTCAAGCTATCCTACCGCCTCCGTGTCCCAAAGCACTGAGATTACAGACATGAGCCACCATGCCCAGCCAATCACCTGTATCTTGAATCTGTTTTCTTGATGACTTGTTTGGCGTCTGGCCATGTCTTTCCTGGAAGTAAACATTCCCTCAATTTTGTCCTCCTGTTTCTATACACTGTGGGTAGCTAACCCCGCTCCAGGCCTGACTCCCCTCCTTTCCTTATAATCTTCCCATAGCTCTCCCACTTTCCCTGATGACTGCAGCCCCTAATAGTACCCCCACCCCCAGCACTCTGGAATTCCAGAATCCCTCTGTAAATCCATGCACCCAACCCTTCCTCAGCAGGCATTGCTCAATGCCTAATTGCAGCCAGGCACTGTTCGGGGGAATAAAGTAGGAATAAACTCAACATATAGCTTAGGGTCTAGTGGAGGGACGGATGTTAAAGAAACAATGACCACAGAATTTCAAAGAGTAATGAACTGTATGAGATCATCAAAGAATACTGTGGGCGAAAGAGTGGCCCCTCATTTCGACAGTGGGTAGGGAGGAAAGAAGGTGTCTTTGAGGAAACAACATCAAAGCTGAGGCAGGTGATGAATATGTTGGATGGAGAAAGAGAAAGAAAACCAAGAATCAAGTGCCACGGCCCTGAAGTAGGAAAGGCTGGATGTGCTTTATGGAGAGAGGGGCAATTCGTGTGGGTAGAACTGACTGGGGCACAGCCTCGCGTCTGTGAGGCTTTTCCTCAAGGGTAGGGATTTTATATTTCTTTTTTTTCTTTCTTTTTTTTTTTTTTGAGACAGAGTCTTGCTCTGTCACCCAGGCTGGAGTGCAGGGGCACCATCTCGGCTCACTGCAACCTCTGCCTCCCGGGTTCAAGCGATCATCCTGCCTCAGCCTCCCTAGTAGCTGGGATTACAGGTGCACACCATCACACCTAGCTAATTTTTGGTTTTGTTTTTGTTTTTTCAGTAGAGGCAGGGTTTCTCCATGTTGGCTAGGCAGGTTTCGAACTTCTGACCTCAGGTGATCTGCCCACCTCAGCCTCCCAAAGTGCTGGGGTTACAGGTGTGAGCCACTGCACCAGGCTGGTATTTTAGATTTCATCCTAAGTGTAGGAAAGCCACTGGGGGGTCTCAAGTGGAGGAGAAGGAGGGGCATTCTCTGATTTTTATTTTATAAAGCTCGCTGGGGCTGCTGAATGGGGAGGAGTTTGGTGGGCATGGTGGGGAAAACAGGGCCCCTTCCTGTTACCCCAGAATATGGGAGGTCTCTTCATGACTGCATTTGTGAGTTCTGTGCCTTCATCTGCCTTTATCTTGCTTTGTGATCATGTTAAGAAATCACTCTGTTTCCTCCCAAGTTTAAAAAAAAAAAAGCAGGGACAGAAGTATTAGCCCACTTCCCATTAATGGTCTGAACAGCTGCTGAACTACTCCTGAGTGCAATAAAGACACTGAATGGGATGAGAACAGGTGTGACCATCTTTTCCTACCCAGCGAATGGTAATTTCGGTGGGTTGGCATCAACTCATCTATTTGGTAAGAATCCTGTTGGGGTCTTCCAGTGAGTGGACAGTGGGACAAAGGGCCAAACAAAGGCGTGGGGACAGGAACCGGGCACAGCAGCAAGCAGCCCAGGGAAGAAAGGGCCAGACGCCACCAGCACGTCCTCACACCAGCAGACGCTTTCTGATGTCTTCACAGCTACATCCAACCTTTACACCGCAAGGGCGCTTCTCCAACTCCATGGAATCATTTTCAGGTTTTAGAAGCAACTTTCTGGCCTCTTTCTGCTCTACCCAAAGTAATGTTCCCAGGACTTTCCTGGGACCTCATGGCCCCCTCACCAGAGAGCGACCGGGATCCCTCCCGCCTGGGGCTCTGGCCCGCTGGTGCCTCTGCCTCTCTGCGTCCCTTCTTTCATGTGTCACCTGCAGCCCAGCACCCACCAGCTCCTCTGAGGGTGGCAGCAACTGAACTACAAAACAGGGGGGTGCCAACTACAGGTGCAAACTTTTTTCCTGCCAGTAAATCAAGACACGTACACAGTATTGTTGGAGACTGTCTTCACCAGAGGCTCTTATTGACTCTATCCTGTCTCAGCCATATGTGCTACACAGCCCAGCAGGGTCATAATGATTTAATCATGGATACACATTAGAACTTTCTGGAATCCTTTAAAACCATCCATGCTTAAAATATAGTATATCCATAGAAGAAAATATTATTTGGCCATAAAAAGGAATGAAGTACAGTTGGCCTTGAACAATGCAAGGGTTAGCGTCACTGACCCCTGCACAGTCAAAAATCTATGTGTATCTTTGGATTCCTCCAAAACTTAACTACTAATAGCCTACTGTTGAATGGAAGTCTTGCCAATAACATAGTCAATTAATACATGTTTAGTATGTTGTATGTATCATATACTGTATTTTTACAATAATGTAAGCTAGAGAATAGAAAATGTTATTAAGAGAATCACAAGGGACAGCAAATATATTTCCTATTGATTAAGAGGAAGTGGGTCATCATAAAGGTCTTCCTCCTCATCCTTTTCATGTTGAGTAGGCTGAGGAGGAGGAGGGGCTGGTCTTGCTGTCTCAGGGGAGGCAGAGGCAGAAGATGGGAAGGAGTGGAAGGGGGAGGCAGGAGAGGCAGGCACTCTCGGTGTAACGTGTATTGAAAAAAATCCTTGTATGCACGCTTTCACTTATTTCAAACCCTGATTGTTCAAGAGTCAACTGGACTAACATGTGCTACAACATGAGTGAAACTCAAAACAATTACGCCAAGAGAAAGAAGCCAGTCACCGAAAACTGCGTTGTACAATCCCATTTAAATGAAAGATCCAGAATGGGCAAATCTATGAAGACAAAGTAGATTAGTAGTTGCCTAGGGCTTGGTGGGGAAGTAAATAGGAAGCGACTGCTAACAGGTACCTTGGTTTCTTTTGGGGGTGATGAAGATGTTCTAAAATTACATAGATGTGATGGTTGCACAACATTGTAAATAACTAAAAACCCATCGAACTATACACTTTCAAAGAGTGGATTTTTTTTTTTTTCAGAGCCTTGCTCTGTTACCCAGGCCGAAATGCAGTTGCATGATCATAGCTCATTTCAGCCTCGACCTCCTGGGCTCAAGAGATCTTCCCATCTCAGCCTCCTGAGAGGCTGGGACTACAGGCGCATACCACAACACCCAGCTAATTTTTTAATTTTCTGTAGAGATGGAGCCTCACTCTGTTGCCCAGCCTGGTCTCAAACTCCTGGGCTCAGGTGATCCTCCTGCCCCAGCCTCTCAAAGTGCTGGAATTACAGGTGTGAACCACCACACCCGGCTCAAAGAGTGAATTTTATGGCATGTGAATTATAGTTCAGTAAAGTCGTCAAAATACATTGATGACTTTGCTCCGCCCCACCCCAATTAAATCAGGATGTCTGGGGGTTGAAGCCCAGGTATCATTGGGTTTTTAAAACTCCCCAGCTGACAGGGAAAGATTTGTTAAGGGATACAAAATCACAGCTAGATAGGACTAAGTTCCAGTGTTCTATACCACTATAGGATGACTGTAGTTAACAGCAATATACTATCTAGTTTCAAATAGCTAGAAGGAAGATTTTCTGTTGTTGTAGAAATGGTGTCTCACTATCTTGCCCAGGCTGGTCTCAAACTCCTGGTCTCAAGCCATCGTCCTGCCTCAACCTCCCAAAGTGCTGGGTTACAGGCATGAGCCATTGCACCCAGCCATAGAAGGAAGATATTCAATGTTCCCAACACAAAAGAATGATAAATGTTTCAGATGATGGGTGAGCTAATTACCCCGATCTGATCACTATATGTTTTAGATATATATAGAAACAATACTATGTGCCCAACGAGTATGTACAATTATTGTATGTCAATTTTTTTTTTTTTTTTTGAGACAGAGTTTCACTCTTGTTGCCCAGGCTGGAGTGCAATGGCGCAATCTCAGCTCACCACAACCTCCGCCTCCCAGTTTCAAGCGATTCTCCTGCCTCAGCCTCGCCAGTAGCTGGGATTACAGGCATGCTCCACCACACCCGGCTAATTTTGTATTTTTAGTAGAGACGAGGTTTCTTCATGTTGGTCAGGCTGGTCTTGAACTCCCGAACTTAGGTGATCCGCCCGCCTCGGCCTCCCAAAATGCTGGGATTACAGGTGTGAGCCACCGCGCCTGGCCTATATGTCAATTTTTCAAGTTAAATTAAATTAAACTAAACTTCTTTTTAAAAGCCCCCAGGTGATTCTAATATGTAGCGATGGCTGAGAACCACGGGTCTGGTCTAACCCTCTGGTTGGCACCTGAGGACACTGGGATCTGCAGAGCTGTCGTGACTCTCAATGTCATTTAGCAGAGGCAGGACTAGAACCCAGGCTTCCAAAGCCAGGTTATCCCCAGCCCTTCTCTGTGCTCAGGCCCCTGATTGCATCCTGACTAGATGCTCTTGGGCCTCCCTAAACCCCATGACATCTTTTGAATTGCTCTCTTTCCAAAATATTCAAACTGCTTCACTTGTTAATATTTCTCTTCTAAACCCACGGCCCCCTCCTTGACATTTCTCTAGCTTGTTCATGCTTCACATCTCCCACCTATTATACAGGCCGGCTTCTTTCCTTCCAGTCAATTTCTTGCCCATTATGAATTTGCATGTACAAGTGCCCGAATTTACATTTAACATACACAATTGGTTCTGTCTTCAGCTGAAAGGTTCTACCCATTCAAACTTTACAGTTGAAGAGGAGAATCTATTCATCACAGGAGGCTAGATCCCTCAGGGAAGCCAGTGTAATTGGCTGTTCATAATTCCCATTTCGAGTTAGATGGCTGTTTAAACTTTGAGGAATCTTGACTGCAAGTTAATCTTCAGGATGAGACTATGAGAGGGTTACAGCTGATGTCATTGTTAGAGATGACGGATGTCCAGAAACTAGAAACCTGTCGCAAGCAGGGCTTGATTAGATAGCTTAAGAGGAAAAATAAAAAGGCAAAGCTGAGTGCTTTCAAAAGAAGGGTTTAAAAATGTTTTTAATCTACATTTTTGTACATAATATGGTTTGTAAATGCATTGGGGGTTTGTGTTTCCTAAGCACGAAGACACTTGTCATACTTTCTCATCTGGAGAAAGCAAAGAGAAGAGTAATATTTATTTATATTTGTATTCTTTCTCTCCTTTAGGACTTCAAACTTTAAAAGGAGAAGTGTTTTCTTATTCATCTTTCTTTTTATTTTTTGTTTTCGTTTTAGAGACAGGGTCTTTGTCTTTTGTCCAGGCTGGAGTGCAGGGGCGCGATCACTGCTCACAGCAACCTCTGCCTCCCGGGCTCAAGCAGTCTTCCCTCCTCAGCCTCCCAAGTAGCCGGGACTACAGGTGCACCACACCAGCTAATTTCTGTGTTTGTTTGTAGAGACAGGTGTTTGTCATGTTACTCAGGCTGGTCTTGAACTCCTGAGCTCAAGTGATCCGCCCGCCTCGGCTTCCCAAACTGCTGGGATTACAGGCGTGAGGCACCGGGCCTGGCCTCTTCATCTTTCTATCTGCCCTCTCCTCGCTTTCTGTATTAGAATCCAGCATAGAATCAGGGCTCAACAAATGTTTTGAATGAAACCCACAGCAACAAATCTCAGATGGAGGGAGGGGAGTGAGAAATGGGGATGGAAATAGCATAATCAATATAGTCAATATTATTATTATTATTATTATTATTATTATTATTTTGGAGACGGAGTCTCGCTCTGTCCCGAGGCTGGAGCGCAATGGTGCGATCTCAGCTCACTGCAACCTCTGCCTCCGAGGTTCAAGCAATTCTCCTGCCTCAGCCTCCTGAGTAGCTGGGGCTACAGGCATGTGCCACCACACTCAGCTAATTTTTTTTTTTTTTTTTTTAGTAGAGACGGGGTTTCACCATGTTGCCCAGGCTGGTCTCGAACTCCTGAGCTCAGGCAATCCGCCCGCCTCAGCCTCCCAAAGTTATAGTCAGTATTATTATATCACAAACCGCATCACTCAACAAGGATATGTGGAGCTCCTCTTCTGTGCTGGGGACTGCTGCAATGACTGAGGCTGGTTAGTCACTGGTCACAAGCAGTCACTCTCTCAAGCCACCTCCATTCTACAGAAAGCAAACCGCCCCCACGTTGCCGGTGGGGATGTGAGAAATCCCATAAATCCCAGGAAAAGTCAGAGAGATAAAAATACAAATGCTTGCCCCATTTTCCCACACTCCTCAAGGCTCTTTCCATAGTTCCTTTTCCTCTGGTCATTAATGAGAGTGAGAACAAAATGGCAAGGAAAAAAAGGATATTAGGATATTCCTAATATCCGAATAGTCACATGAAGTTTGCATCACGCAGTCACCTGTTCTGTGTCATTTAATCTCACAGCCGTGGAAGAGACAGCATTATTCCCCTTCCTTAGGTAAAGGAGCCAAGATCGTGGAGGACATGTGATTTGTTCAGTCACACAGCAGATAAGACACAGGGCTAGCAGGGAATCGCCAGATCAGCAACATGCCCATCCTGTGTCTTCACGTCTTACCACACGGCCTCCCAATGAAACAAGGAAGCTCTGGAGTCCACAAACAGATCTTGAGACAAAAAAAAAGAAAAGAAAAGAAATAAAAAGCAAACAGGAAACTCTGAGGACTGGGAGCAGGAAGGGGAAGATAGTATATGTAGGCCCAAAGACTGGAATCTTGGCTCAAACACTGCAATGTCACTCTCAGAAGTGGATGGAGGCCGTGCACGGTGGCTCATGCTTGTAATCTCAGCACTTTGGGAGGCCAAGGTGGGTGGATCACTTGAGGTCAGGAGTTCGAGACCAGCCTGGCTAACGTGATGAAACCCTGCCTCTACCAAAATAATAATAATAATAATGATAATAATAATACAAAAGTTAGCCGGGTGCAGTGGCATGTTTCTGTGATCCCAGCTCTTCAGGATGCTAAGGCATGAGAATCGCTTGAACCCAGGAGGTGGAGGTTGCAGTGAGCTGAGATTGCACCACTGTACTCCATCCTGGGTGACAGAGTGAGACTGCCTCAAAAAAAATTAATTAATTAATTAATTTTAAAAAAGAGAGAGAGAGAAAGAAGAAAAGAAATGGATGGAAAATTAAGTGTTCACTTGAAAAAATAAAAATAAAAAAAGTGATAGAAGATACGGCTGCAAAAGCAGCAATGAACTGGCTGAAAGACTGAAGCTCTGTCCTTAGATTGAAAAGTGAGGCGATTCCAATATTCAAAAGCTTGGTACTTTTGTGCCTGACTGAGTTGTAGCCCTCGTCCAAGAGATTGTCCAGGAATGGAGAAAAATAGCTTTATTTGAAGGCAGTGGTAGAAAGAGAATAATAACAAAGTTGTTTTTTAATCCTAAAAGAGCAAGTGTCCAGGAGAGGCCAATTTATAAGGAGGTTCTGGAGTAATGTCAGTAATAAAACCTCCCGGGAAGATGAAATACATGCCACTCTGGCTCTCCAGCTAGTAGGTGCTGATGGGCCCCCAGCAGCCACCAAAATTCTATTTCATTGACTCTTATCCCAACATCCTTGATAGAGGAGATCTAACTTTGCAAAATCCTCTCCAAGTGTTTCGGGGATCTTGGGTTTTGTCGTTTAAGCTCATAAAGAGTTCTCTCACGTTCCTTGGCCCTGGGCCCCTCTGTTGTTTTTTGCTTGTGAAGCCATTTGAGGGCTGCTGTGTGCCACCGTCACAGCTGTGTGGCAAGCCTAGAGTCATGCTGTTATAACCACCCGATGGGTGCTTCCTGCCCACTACACAAACAAAATCCATTCACAGAGACCACAGCATTGCAGATCACAAGGTCAGGAGATCGAGACCATCTTGGCCAACATGGTGAAACCAAGTCTCTACTAAAATACAAAAATTAGCCAGGTGTGGTGGTGCGCACCTGTAGTTCCAGCTGCTCGGGAGGCTGAGATAGAGTAATTGTTTGGAAGTGGAGGTTGCAGTGAGCTGAGATCGCCCCACTGCACTCCAGCCTGGTGACACAGCAACACTCCGTCTCAAAAAAATAAAAAGAGTTTAATTGACTCGAGGTCAGTCATGCCACATGGGAGATGGAGTTATCACTCAAATCGACCTCACTGAAGGCTCAGAGGTTAGGAGTTTTTGAAGGGTAGTTTGGGAGAAGGGATGGAGGTGTCTGGGCAATGGGTGCTTGCTGCTGATTGGCTGGGGGTGCAATCATAGGGGTGTGGGAAATGGTCCTCCTGTGCCTGAGTCCTTTGTGGGTGGGGCCACAGGAGGGGTCAGTGGGTCTAGGTGGAGGCATGAGTGTCAGACATCAAAAAAAAAGACTGAAAAGATATCCCAAAGGCCAATCTTAGGCTCTATAACGGTGATATTATCTGCAGGAGTAATCTGGGAGGTTGCAAATCTTATGACCTGCAGAATAATGGTTGGCAATCATTTATGTCTACACCTTAGCAGAATTCAGGCTCCTCTACCCTGCTAGCCTGGTGGTCTCTCATTACTTTTACAAAAGCAGCTGACTTTGGGGAAAGGGCTATTATCATTTAACTCTCAAAGTTAGCTTGGCCTACACCCAGAAATATTAACAATTAATGGCAACTTGAAGGCTAAAGGCAAGATGAGGGTTGGCTAGATCAGATCTCCCTCACTGCCATAGTTCTCTCACTGACCTAATTTTTGCAAAGCGGTTTCACTGTGTTTCTTGTAAAGGTAGAGGAGAAAGCCCCTCTCCTCCCTCCCTCCCTCTGTGTCACATTTTATTACTTGTGTTAGTGAGCACTAAAAAATGTAAGTCCTGGGTCTTGTGTGAAAAGCTTGCAGTTTTAGGCTGGGCGTGGTGGCTCACACCTGTAATCCCAGAACTTTGGGAGGCCGAGGCGGGTGGATCACCTGAGGTCAGGAGTTCGAGACCAGCCTGACCAACATGGTGAAACCCTGTCTCTGCTAAAAATACAAAATTAGCCGGGCATGGTGGCGGGCGCCTATAATCCCAGCTACTCGGGAGGCTGAGGCAGGAGAATTGTTTGAAGCCGGGAGGCGGAGGTTGCATTGAGGTGAGCTCGCACCACTGCACTCCAGCCTGGGCAACAAGAGCGAGACTCCAAAAAAGGAGACAGAGAGAGAGAGAGAGAGAGAAACGAAAAGCTTGCAGTTTCGACATGCCCTGCTTCTCTGCAGAGACACAAGTCCATGACACTGGTGTCGTGGTTCCTTTTCACTCTCATTGTTTTGGTTGTTTCAGTTCTTTCCCCCCATTTCTCAAACAATCTCCTCCCTCTACTGCAACCAAAAAGCCCCATGCCTCTTCTCCCACCACCCTGCAGACTCAGACAAGACTGCATCTCAGCTTGCTCTCAGGCTGAGAGCACTGATAGCTTGGCTTTATCTAGCAGACAACAGGAAGCCTCTGAAGGGCTCTGGGCAGAGAAATCGTTAGGAAGATGCATCTTGGCAGTAGTTCCTCAAATGAATTGGGCGGTAGTGAAACGTCTTGATTCTCAGAGCAGACTCAGCGTGGGACGGCACACTGGTGCCACCTGGAGGCGGCCGGCCTCAATTACAGACGCAGTTTACAGAAAGCTGACAAAACCCTTCTGAAACCAAATCTGAAACAGAAAGCCATCGAGTGACTTTTTAGCGCTACAGGAAGAGTGGTCTGTTTATTTGGGCTAAGCCAGCAAGGAACAAAACTTCAGGGAAGTGGCCCTGCTAGAGACTCTAGGACTAGCCTGGCCCTCCATGTCCTCCTTTGGGAGAGGCTGACTTACAAGGAGGTTCTTTTTTTTTTTTTTTTCTTTTTGAGACGGAGTCTTGCTCTGTGGCCCAGGCTGGAGTGCAGGGGCGCGACCTCGGCTCACTGCAAGCTCCGCCTCCCGGGTTCACGCCATTCTCCTGCCTCAGCCTCCCGAGTAGCTGGGACTACAGGCGCCCGCCACCACGCCTGGCTAATTTTTTGTATTTTTAGTAGAGACGTGTTTTCACCGTGTTAGCCAGGATGGTCTCCATCTCCTGACATCGTGATCCGCCCGCCTCAGCCTCCCAAAGTGCTGAGATTACAGGCGTGAGCCAGCGCGCCCAGCCACAAGGAGGTCCTTGAATTAGTTATTTTTGTAATAAAACCTCCCAGGATGGGCTGGGGAGCGCCCACCCCACCACCACCACCACCGAAATCTGTTTTGCAACAGATTTGCAAACCAACATATTTGCCAAAATACAGGCTTGTCATTTCTCAGGAGAAGGGGGATAACTGGTTCTTGCTTCAAGTGAAAACCACCACACAGGAAAGAGAATGTGTCCCTAGCACGGTGGCTCACACCTGTACTCCCAGCACTTTGGGAGGCTGAGGTGGGCAGATCACCTGAGGCCAAAAATTCAAGACCAGACTGGCCAACATGGTGAAACCCCGTCTCTACCAAAAATACAAAAATTAGCCGGGCGTGGTGTTGGGCACCTGTAGTCCCAGCTACTCAGGAGGCTGAGGCTGGAGAATTGCTTGAACCCGGGAAGTGGAGGTTGCAGTGAGCTGAGATTGTGCCACTGCACTCCAGCCTGGGCGACAGCGAGACTCCATCTCAAAAAAAAAAAAAAAGAGAGAGAGAGAATGTGTTCCCAGACTAGAGACAGGGTGTCACAGGTGACAATGGCAGTCAGAGCCTGCCCTGTTAGCCTGCCCAGGTTTTTCCAGTACTTTTTTATTTTCCCTAAAGATCCTGTGATTTACAACACAACCTAGGCATTAACAAGCAAGGAAAACTAGAAATTGAAATGAAGCGGTTTTCAGAATAAGGATTAGACTCCAGAATCCCAGATTCTTTCTGCCAGAATCCACTTAATTACACACTGAAGTATGGAATTCCTGTAATACGAAGTTATTTGTTTCTTCTTTCAAAAAAGGGGTAAACTATATTCCTTATCAGTTTTCTGCAGCTCACTCAGTCATGGGAAGTTTATGCTGCATTTTCTCTTGCCCTTGGCTTCACCTTCTCCCTAATATCTACTGTTTTCCTAAGAAAGTTTCTCAGTATAGAAAAACAAGGTCATTTCTCGGAGTCTTTGCCAAATCTGCACTGGACCTTTGCTTCTGGAGGAATGGGAATTTAAAAGCAGCCCAAGATCGGTCATCCTGACTTTCATAGGAAAGGAAGAGCTTCTTCGCTCACTGACTTGACACTTGCTGCAACCCTGTGAGGTTTACCTTGTTACGCGTGTGTTAAAGGGGATGAAATAGATGCTCAAAGAATAATCTGCCCAAGGACACACAGCTAGAAAGTAGAAAACTAGGATTTAAAATCCCAGGCTTGCCTGACTGCAGATTCCCGTTGCTTCCTACAGCACTGGGCAGAGTTCCACTTCATAAAAGTCTAGGGAGGCCAGGCGCGGTGGCTCCTGCCTGTAATCCCAGCACTTTGGGAGGCCGAGGCCGGTGGATCGCCTGAGGTCAGGAGTTCGAGACCAGCCTGACCAACATGGTGAAACCCCGTCTCTATTAAAAGTACAAAAATTAGCTGGGCATGTTGGTGGGCACCTGTAATCCCAACTACTCAGGAGGCTGAGGCAGGAGAATTGCTTGAACCCGAGAGGCGGAGTTTGCAGTGAGCCAAGATCGCACCACTGCCCTCCAGCCTGGGCCACAGAGCGAGACTCCATCTCAAATAAAAATAAACATAAAAATAAACATCAAAATAAAATAAAAGTCTAGGGAGAGGAAACCCAAAGGGTTAAATAAAGCAGGGGGAGCGCTGAGGATAAACAAAAAAAGGGTTGGGTCTGGGTCTGAAGGGAGGGGCCAGGAAGTGGATAGGGCCAAGGCAGGAGATGCCTACTGGGAAAAGGAAAGTCTGGGCCCTGGAGGAGGTGTGGCCACTTAAAAGTCAGATTTAAGGTGGGGAAGGAAACTTGCCACAAGGTCAAATGGTTAGGAGGTGGCACTGGGAAGGAATCATGCCTTAAGGACTTTCTGAAAAGCCAGGCTCAGATTCTTTGCTCTGCCACTCTGACCCTTGACTTCCCCCACATCTGCCTCATTTTAAAATTTTCATTTTATTTCCATATGATTTACTTTGCATTCTCCTTATTTCTTCCCATTCCAGTCCACTGCCTTTTTCTATTTGGTTTTACTCAATTGTGGCTATTCTAGTGGAACCAGGGGAAATACAGGCCTCTCTTCTTCTGACTGAATATCGTGTAACGTCTTCAACTTCATTCTTCCATTAAAGGCAAAGTATGTGCTACAAAATCAAAGTTCACATCCTGCAATCAGCTTCCAAGAGAGTGAAGCCGACTTTACACTATCTTTTCCATGCTTCTCTTCTAAACTACTTCTGAGGTTTTTCTTCCCCTCTGTTCCCTTCTGAGAGGTGTCAGTGTGGCCAGGTCTGAGCTGCACAGAGGTGGTGGGAGGTGTCCCATGGAGGCAGTGCTGCACGGTTCCATGGAGCAAATAAGTAAATTGAACAGGTAAATGTAGAGAGGACAATGGGGGCTAGGTTGGAGCAGTGGCCAGAAGAGAAGGGGGAAGAATGGAAATAACCTTGGGGTATTGAATTGTAATTGAAAGTACATTATGAACTCATAATTCAAAAAAACATAAACACAAAAATATAAATATATCTATACAGATATAACTATATGTGTGTATATATATATAGAGAGAGAGGTGTGTGTATATATATGTGTGTGTGTATATATATGTGTGTGTGTGTGCATATATATATGTGTGTGTGTGTATATATATATGCATACATACAAACAAATCCTAGCTCTACCAGCCAAGCAAGCCTAGAAGCAATATCATCCCAGCAGCAATGAGCACGTGGAGCATCTATCTATCTTGGTTTCTAAATGTCATTCTGCACTGAAAGGAACCAGGAAATAGCTGATTCCTGGGATGGTGCAGGAACTAGGTGAGCCTAGAATATCTGCTGGTACTAGAAAGGGAAGACATTCCTCAAGGATGATGTGGACTGAGCTGGGAGTGGTGTGTTACGGGAGGCAGTAAGTCTGACATAAGCAGGATGGAGAGGGCACGCCCCCACCATGGCCCCATGACCTGGAATGTCAGGCCACCATCAGGTGATGGTCAGGCAGTTGTCACACTGTCTCTCTAAGATAACAACTGGTCACAGCCGGCTCACCAGGGAAAGGCAGTCTCCCAAGAGACAGAAAAAACCTGAAACTGGTGACCAGCAGCTTCCCAGTAAGATCTCAGGAGTTGAGTGGGTGAGCTCAAGCTTGTGCACTGAGAGGCAGGTGGTGGGGTTTAACTGGTATGTGACCTTCTTCTAGGAACACTCGATTGGTAAGGGAAGAGCTCCTCAAGTGAGCATGCACACAACGTCAGTAAACACTGTGCACGCGGCCCTCCCAGGTGCTGGCAGGCCACTGTGCATGCAGACAGCCCACGCCAAGGGGAGAATCAGGGGAGAAGGGATGCAGCCCCCGTCGGAAGCATGCCAGCATAAAAAACCCAAGTCAAAGGTTACACTGTGCACTCACATCTCTCTAGTTGCCTGCTTGGCCCTCTTCCAAGCATACTTTATTTCCTTTTGTTCCTGCTTTAAAACTTTTTAATTTTAATTAACGTTTACTCCTGCTCTAAAACTTGCCTTGAGCGCTCTCTCTCTCTGCCTTATGTCCCTCAGTTGAATTCTTTCTTCTAAGGAAATCAAGGAAGCAAGAATTGAGGTTGCTCCAGACCCATGCGGATTTGCTGCTGCTGACATACTTTGGTGCTGTGACTTGGATATGTTCCCTAGTGGTAAGACGCCTCTATGCCTTGCCTTCTTTGGCTGGAGGTGTTCAACCCCTAAATGCAGTTTTCTTCGCCCTCTTGCTCTCCTGCTTACTAACCAACCCCCAGAATGATTCCTCTCAGCCACAGTGGCTCTGCTTCCCCCCGGCTGATCTCTCAGCTCACCCTGACAGGTGGCTCGTGGAGGGGAGGAGGACCCTGGAGTCTGCACCAAGTAGACCTGAGATGCTAATGGCCCTCCTGCACAGGAGGCTGGGGAGAGCGGTAGGGCTAAAGCCTAGGACCGTGCAGTGTCTGGGATTTCCTCTGCTTTTTCAACTAAAATCAGCTCTTTCCCAAAAGCCTGTGCTGCCTGTTGTGTTTTCTCTGTGTGTGTTTTGAAATGGCCTTGCGCACCCTCCAGACTCTCTGCCTCCGGGGCAAGTCTGCCTTTTCCCTGTTTCCACTTTGCATACTGCATAACTTCCTTCTCTGCCCCACATGGACACACGCCCTCTTATTCATGCATCCGCGGCTCTTGCTGCATTCGCTCGGCAGCAAAGCCACAGGCTCCCTTGTGGATGTCCCTTGTGGAGATTTGTACTTTTTTACCCCACCAGCTTGGATGACCTCCAACTTTTCCCCTGTCTGTTGGCACATTGCTGGGATGGACACTGATCGGAACCCCAGGTCTGACCGCTCCCGATGACTTTACCGTACACTTCTTGTTCCAGTTATGCCCCAGGGCCTAGTTTTCTGGTGGCTTTTGAAGCAGTTTGTGCACCTGCATAGGACCTCACTCTGTGGCCCTTTAAGGACCCCACCTACTTGTGTTTTCTTTTTTTTCTTTTCTTTTTTTTAGTTAGCATCCCTTTGGCAGGAGGAAAAATTCTTCCTTTGCCATTTGCAAGTTCTTACCACCAAGCTCCAAGTCCTCCACAACTTCTTCTATGTCAAAAGAGCAAATAAACATTGCCTTCTCAAATCTAAGGGCTGCTGTTTTTGCAAGCAAAGCCTTTCCATGAGCATCCCTCTCGCTTCCTCCCACTTCTTCCTGTAGCCTCCATTTCTCTAATCCTTCCACGCCCTTCTCAATATGCATCAAGATCTTCAAGGTCATATTCAAAGGGAGGGAAGTCCAGCTCCCTCGAGGCAGTTAGCTGAAAAACAGGCTTCTCATCTACTTAAAGAACATGGGAAATGGAAATTTGAGGAAAGAGATAATCAATTTGTTGTAGAATGCCCCGGGCAAGAGTCACTATAAGGTCATGGAGAAAAGGATCTAGGCTGGCTCAAGCCTGCAGGTGCAAGAGACCCACAGGACAGAGATGAAGGCTTGTTCCAGGTTAACATTACCATTAGAACAGAGATGAAGGCAAGGTTAGGGGTGCACAGTAAGACCAGTTCATTCCAGAACCCCAAGGATGGACAGGGGGTGCCTGGTTCACACCCTTATTTCCTCTGTTCTTAAGTGGATAATAGTGACGAGATGGGACGAAGGTTAAGGGGACATGGTAAGACTGGTTTATTCCAGAATCCTAAGGACGAATGGGGGATGCCCTGTTCAGGATAGAGAAGTAACAGGGGATGCCTTCTTTTTCCTTTTTCCTTTTTTTTCCTCCTCTGTTCTCTCTTCACAAATGGGTAATCATGTCTTCATAGCATGGGACATGCCCCCTGGTTGTATCCTCAAGAACTGGGAAAAATTTGATCCTCCTCAAACCTAAAAACAAAAAACTAGTTTTCTTTTGTAATACTGTTTGGCCTAAAAACGAACTGAGAGAAAATTACAAAAGTCAACCTTAGAACCTAGTGCCCCTATATAGGAAATCCTCAAATCAGCCTCCTCAGTCTTTTGTAACTAAAAGCAGAATAAGGAGGACAGGGCTAAGGAGAAAGGGAAATGCAGGGACAAGAGACAGGCTCAACAACTGGCTGCTTTACAAGCTCTCCAGCCCCCTTCAGGTTACCCTAAGGACAGTCCTTCAGGTAACTGTCATTGGTGTGGGAAGCCAGGCCACTGGAAGGCAAACTGCCCCAATGAGATAAATGGGAAAAAGCCCGGCACAGCTTGCCCCTTTGCCACAAGCTCTGCCACTGGAAAAGAACTGCTCTGACGGCCGAAGGACTGGATCCCAATCCCTGATGGCCTTGAGCTGAAGGAGACCTCTGCTCTGGCTGGCTTCCAAGTCAGACATTGTCATCAGCAAGACAAAGCCAAGGGCAACAGTAGAGGTAGCAAGTAAAATTATACATTTCCCTTTTGGGTTCAAGAGCTGCCTAGTCTATGCTAATCTACTTCTCTAAGCAACTCTTCTCCAAATCCTATCAGGTAACAGGGCAAATGTCACCCTCTCCCTCTAAAAGAAAAGATTCACACCCCTTTAGGACAAAAATATACTTTCCAAAATGGGTGGCTGCTTAATATGTACCCAACCTCTGAATTCACCTTCCTCTCTAATAGCCCTATTTCTCCCAAAAAGCTACCTAAATCTTTAACCGATAACTTCAACCTGTACCATCCTACTTCAGGGGTTTAAAAATAGCCCACACTTATTTGGATGAGCCCTAGCAAAAATCTAACCGAGCAATCTCTTGAGGGGAAACAACTTCTACAGTATGTAGATAACCTCCTCATTTGCTTCCCCTTCACAGGACACACACAACAACATGCAGTACAAACCATAAATTCCTAACAGAAGGAAAATAACTTTTCTCTAATTCAAAGGTTATAAAGGTAAAGAGGTATTTTTGTTAAGGAAGATTATAAAGAAAAGAAATTTTATATGAGAAAGGATCTTTTGTCGTAAATTTGCATCCTAAAGAAAAATAACTGATTGTTTAAAAAGAGGGATGCTTAGGACAAGTGAGAAAGTCCAAGCTTTTCATAGATGTTCTGTGTAAGTCATGAAAAGATTTGTGAAAGGGAATTTATAAAAGAAATATCAAACAATTTTGTTTTGTTTTGTTTATTTATTTTTACAATTTTTAATTTTTGTGAGTACACAGTAGGCATATATATGTATGGCGTACATGAGATATTTTGATACAAGCATACAATGTGTAATAATCACATCAGGATAAATGGGGTATCTATCACTTCAAACATTTATCCTTTCTTTGTGTTACAATCTAATTATAGTCTTATAGTTATTTTTAAATGTACAATAAATTATTGTTGACTGTAGTTACCCTGTTGTGCTATCAAATACTAGATCTTATTCATTCTAACTAACTATATTTTCATATCCAATAACCATCCCCCATTCTACTACTCCACTACCCTTCCCAGACTCTGGTAACCATCATTCTAACACAAATGTGAATTACAATGTTCTAATGTGAATTTAGAAATGTTTCGCTTCTCAGTAATTTTGTGATATGAACAAACATTACCAAAAACACAAGATTCTATTTTTCTAGTAAAATACCCTATGGTAGAATTTCAAATATCATGTTGGATTCTTTTCGTGTTTATTTGGATGAAAATAAGGTATGTTAAGTAAGTGTAATTATCTCATTTTTATACTGCTTGTATACTTTCTTGAGAAGTTCAGAACCATTTCTTCTCTGATAAAGATAATAACGTTATATACTTTCACAAAGAACAAGCATGGTTTTTAACCTGTTAAATTGAAATTCATACTACTAAATAAATGAATAAATAAGTAAATAAATAGAGGAAGCAGTGGAACTTCTTTCTTACAGTAGAATACCAAGTAATTAATGTAGAAGGAATGATGAAAATAGCAAACCACCATATGACACTATTATGGTTATAATTTATTCAGATAGGGATCATCCACAAATATTAAGGCTGATGGGTAGAAGTTGTTAAGGATCAGGATTTTAGCATAATTTTAGAAAATCTCCCCACAAAATGCTTATCAATTGCAAAGGTGAAAATGGTGACTCAATGGAGGAGAAATATGGAAGACACCAACATGACCAAGCAATCAAGATTAACATCACCAGTGATGAGACAAGACCACATCATATGCTGTAATGTGCAGAGCCCAGGATCCTGTCCATCATTTTCCTGTCAAGAAATCATGGCGAGGTCTGACCAAAATGAAATATTAGATGGAACCAGGTCTAGGGCCATCCTACATAACAAAAGGCCTGCACTCTTAAAAACTGAAGGATGTGGGGCCAGTTGCAGTGGGTCGTGCCTGTAATCCCAGCACTTTGGGAGGCCAAGGTGGGTGGATCACTTGAGCCCAGGAGTTTGAGACCAGCCTGAGCAACTTGAAACTCTGTTCTACAAAAAAAAGCAAAAATTAGCCGAGTGTGGTGGCACACGCCTGTAGTCCCAGATACTCAGGAGGCTGAGGTAGGAGGATCACCTGAGCCTGGAGAAGTCAAGGCTATAGTGAGCCATGATCACCCCACTGTACTCCAGCCTGGGTGACAGAGTGAGACTGTCTCAAAATAAAAACAAAAACAAAAAACGGAAGGATGTGGAAGACAGGGAAAGACTAAGAAATTATTCCATATTGAAGGGAATCTCCTTCCTTCTATTCGGACATGTGACAACTAAATGTAATGCATGCTCCTGGACTGGATCCTGGACCTGAAAGGGAAAAGAGACATGATGGGCTGAGCCAGCAAAATTTGAATGGGATCTGTGGATTGGGTAGCAGTGTTGTGCCCATGTTTATTTCTGCCTTGGAGGGTTTGTATAAGTTTTCTAGCACTGTCATAACAAATTACCACAAACCACATGGCTTTAAACAACAGAAATGTATTATCTTGAAGTTCTGGGGGCTAGAAGTCCAAAATCAAGGTGTCAGTAAGCTTGGTTCCTTCCGGAGACTCTGATGGAGAAAGCGTCCCATGCCTTTCTCCTTGCTTCTGGTGGTTGCTGGCAATACTTGGGGTGCCTTTGTTTGTGGCAGCAGATCCCCAACCTCTGCTTCCATCTTCACATAGCTATCTGTGTGTCTCTGTGTCTCTCTTTGTCCTCACCTTTTCTTATGAGGACACCAGTCTATGGGATTCAGGGCCCACCTTAATCCTTGGACGGATTCAATTGGAGATCCTTCATTACATCTGTAATGACCCTATTTCAAAATAAGGTCACATTCTGAGGTTTCAGGAGGATGTGAATTTGGGGGGAACACTTTTCAGCCATTACAGGGTTATATCTAAAAATATATTCTGGAGTGTTTAGAGGTGCTGGATCTTATGATTGCAGCTTGCTCTCAAATGGTTCAGAAAATGATAAAAGGGGATTCAAGAGTTCTTTGTGTACTGTTGAAAGACAAAATTACAATAAATTTAGTTTAAAGATCTTAACTGGCTTTTACATATGATTCTAAAATCCAGCTACACCTCATTCCTCATTCTATATAATAGAATGAGTGCTCCAATAAGCAGATGATATGGTTTGGCTGTGTCCCCACCCAAATCTTATCTTGAATTGTAGCTCCCATAATTCCCACGTGTTGTGGGAGGGACCCAGTGGGAGGTAATTGAATCATGGGGGCGAGTTTTCCCATGCTGTTCTCGTGATAGTGAATAAGTCTCATGAGATCTGATGGTTTTATAAAGGGCAGCTCCCCCTGCACACACTCTCTTGCCTGCCACCATGTAAGATGTGCTTTTGTTCCTCCTTTACTTTGCGCCATGATGGTGAGGCCTCCTCAGCCATGTGGAACTGTGAGTCCATTAAACCTCTTTTTCTTTATAAATTACCAAGTCTCAGGTATGTCTTTATTAGCAGTGTGAGAACAGACTAATATAGCAGAGCAGAGGAGGTTGGCTTTATAGACAGAAAAGGGCTAAGGAAAGCAGAAACAGAACAAAAAGTGGATTGGTTGTTTCAAACTTACTTTCCTTGTAAAGATTAAAGTAGGGAGGCTTCCTTGTCATGCCAACTAAAGTGTCTGGGGATTTGGCTATTATCTCTCTCACTCCTGATTTCTCAGAAGGTCAGATGAACAACTTAGTTTCAGCTTGGGGACATGGCACTTCAACATATGGGACTCTGTTTTGGTTTGGTCATTGGGTCTAGTACAGGAGCTCAGTCCAAACCATATGGCCTCCCATAAATTTTATTTAACAGTACTGTTCTTGCAACTTTTCTATACACTTAAAACTATTTCAAGATAGGCTGGGTGTGGTGGCTTATTTCTGTAATCCCAGCACTTTGGGAGGCTGAGGTGCGAGGATTGCTTGAGCCCAGGAGTTTGAGACCAACCTGGACAACATGGTGAAACCTCGTCTCTACAAAAAATACCAAAATATATATATATATATATATATATATATATATATATATATATATATATATTACCCAAGTGTGGTGGCCTATGCCTGTGGTTCCAGCTACTCGGGAAGCTGAGGTGGAAGGATCACCTGAGCCCAGGAGGTTGAGGCTGCAGTGAGCCATGATTGCGCCACTGCACTCCAGCCTGGGTGACACAGAGTGAGACCCTGTCTCAAAAAAACATAAATTATTTCAAAAAAATTATGTAGTTGTTTTTTTTTTTTTGAGATGGAGTCTCGCTCTGTCACCAGGCTAGAGTGCAGTGGCGCAATCTCGGCTCACTGCAACCTCCACTCCCTGGATTCAAGCAATCCTCCTGCCTCAGCCTCCCAAGTAGCTGGGATTACAGGCACCCACCACCATGCCTGGCTAATTTTTGTATTTTTAATAGAGACGGGATTTCACCATTTTGGCCAGGATGATCTCGATCTCTTGACCTCATGATTCGCCCATCTCAGCCTCCCAAAGTGCTGGGATTACAGGCGTGAGCCATCATGCCTGGCCTGTGTAGATTTTTTAAACCTGTTATTGAAATTATTTGAAGGTTTTCATTGGGAAACATTTGGGAGAGAACAAGGCAAGATTTCAAATGTTTGCACATCCACGGGTTCTGCCACTGTCTTGTTGGCAGACAGGGACCTTGTTTTGTCCCTGGGTCCCTGCAGATTGGGGGTGGCCCTCCTCGAATGAGTAGTGAGAGCTCCCAGTCTTTTTATCTAAATGCTTTGTTCTTTGTCATTTCATTGCTCTTCAGGAGACTTGAGTGTTGATTTGGGGTGGATAAGATACCTCTGCAGAGGGAGCTGATCTAGAAATTGGTCGTGACCATGAGAGGCTTTGTTCAAGTCAAATGGAGGATTGGAAGTCTTGTCTATGTCATAGAACCAAGAACCCAGTGCTGAGCTCCCAGGGCTAGGACTGTTGACTCTGGAGAAATCCACATCCATGCATAGTTCTGAGGACTGCCCATTGCCCTGTATGTTGAATGACTTCAGATTTTTTTAAAAATTCAACTTTAGAGTTACATTTAGTCTTATCACTCTTACTCCATCTTTCCTGGTTTTCTTTTCTCTTCTCTTTCTTCCTTCTTCCTTTTTCCCTCTTCCCTCTTCCTCCTCCTCTTCCACTCCTTCTCCTTCTCTTTCTTTCTCCTTCTCCTTCTTTTTGAGACACTGTCTCACTCTGTTGCCCAGGCTGGAGTGCAGTGGCACAAACATGGCTCACTGCAGCCTTGACCTCAAGGGCTCAAGCAATCCTCTCACCTCAGCCTCCCGTGTAGCTAGGACTACAGGTGTGCACCACCATACCTGGCTAATTTTTAATTTTTTGTAGAAACAGGGGCTCACTGTATTGCCCAGGCGGATCTCAAACTAGTGGGCTCAAGCAATCCTCCTGCCTCAGCCTCACAAGGTGCTGGGATTACAGGCATGAGCCACCACGTTCAGCTTTCTTTCCTTTTTATTCCTATCAAATAAAGTAAAATGCAATTCCTTTTTGCCTATTACATATATTTCTAATCTCAATCTAAAATCTGTCTCCTCATTTTTCAAGCTTTTAATTTAGCTAATAAAAGCTTTTACCTTTTATTTCTTCCACTTTAAATCTAAAGCATTTCAACTTATATCTTTCATTACCTTTCAGATTTAGTAGGTTATTTATTTTATTTTTTAGATTTAGCCCACCACTGGCCACTGCTCCTGGGAGGTGGCGTGTGAGTGAGTGAGTGCAGGAACTAGAGCGAATGAACTCTGGAGCCAGCTGGTCGCTCCTCTCCGGCAGGAGCAGGCTCTGTGCAGGCCCCGCAGCAGCATCCAAGCATGTTACAACCAATTGCCCTTTCAGCTCTGCCGTCTGAGGACAGCCAAGTGCCAGTCAGCTCAGTGGAGGGTCAGGGTGGCAGCCCCTCCCCTCTTGGCACCTGGGTTCTTGTCTGGTGTCCAGGAAGAATCAGGTCACATGAAGTGTTTGAAAGGTGATGAATGCGGAAGACTTTATTGAGCAGTGGGTGGCTCTGGGCAGAAAGGGAGGCTGGAAAGGGCATGCGAAGGTGATCTTTTCCTGAAGCTCTGCCGTCTTTGGCTGGGCCCCTCTCTGAAGCCACGCTGTCTGAAGTTGGCCACATCTATCTGTAGTCTCTGGTGCTCAGTTGCTTCTCTGCTCACCGCTCAGCTGCTTGGATCCACAACACTCAGCTGCTTGGATCCGCGACACTCAGCCACTTGTGTTGTTCTGCCAGCTGAAGTCTTTTATGGGCACAGGATAGGGGCGGGGGAGGCCCAAAAAGCCACATTTGGGCAGAAAAATGGGATCAGCTGTTTTCACTTAGGGCCACGGTTCCAGGCTTAAGGCTGGGGTTTAGCCAGGAGCCCAGCCCTTCTGTATCACTGGAACTGGAGGCGTACGTCACCATAGCCGGCTAATGTTGGTATTTTTTGTAGAAACAGGTTTTCACCATGTTGTTCAAGCTGGTCTCGAACTCCTGGGCTCAAGCAGTCCACCTGCCTCAGCCTCCCAAAGTGCTGGGATTACAGGCATGAGCCACTTCATCTGGCCTGTTTTTTCTTACATTTACCTTTAACCCGTAATCTTTCCTCAAGCTCCCACAGTCCCTTTATTAGCATGCCCTAATTTCCTTTCCCTTTCCTTCCTCCTCTCATACAGTGATTGGCTTTGACAATGTCTGTAAAGGAGGGTGGTCTCAGGGGCGTTAGGAGTTCGGAGCTGATGACATGGAAGAGGTTTTCTCCTCTGACTGTCTCCAAACCTGCCAGCCTGGCTCGCACGATGGCCCCAGAGCATCTTGGAGGATGCCTCAGAACCTTCGGCCTGCATTTGAAGGCTTCATCTATTCCAGGGCCATAATTCTCTCTGAACTATTTATATATATATATATATATATATATATATATATATATATATATATACACACACACACACATATATATAGATATAGATAGATATATAGATATATAGACATATAGATATAGTTGTTTTTTTTGTTGTTTTTTTGTTGTTTTTTTTTTTGAGACAGAGTTTTGTTCTTATTGCCCAGGCTGGAGTGCAATGGCACAATTTCAGCTCACCGCAAGCTCCGCCTCCCAGGTTCAAGTGATTCTTCTGCCTCAGCCTCCCGAGTAGCTGGGATTACAGGTGTGCACCACCACGCCCGGCTATTTTTGTATTTTTAGTAGAGACGGGGTTTCACCATATTGGGTTAGGCTGGTCTCGAACTCCTCACCTCAACTGATCCACCCGCCTCAGTCTCCCAAAGTGCTGGGATTACAGGCGTGAGTCACCGTGCCCAGCCTATTGTTTATGTCTTACATAATCCAGTCCCTTGTGTTTTAAAATCCGTGGTGTTCAATATCTAACTCTATGTTGTTCAACAATCCACACCGATGACATAGCATGTACATCATGAGCCAGAGAATGTGGTCCAGGAGCTTACAGCACAGCAGCTTGGCCTGGCGGCAGGTGGCCCGGGGCCCTGAAGCTTGGAGAGGGTCTCTGTAGGTGCACTACGGGAGGCTTGTTTTCCTATCTGTATCTCAACTGCTTATTTCCAAGTTGCAACACTCCCCTTCCTGGCGGGCTATGAAAGGACTTTGGGTGTGTGGCTCTCCCAGGCTCCCTTCCCTCCTTATGACAGTGCTGGAAAAACTGGCCAGTATGGCTATTATTCTGGATGATTTTTTTAAATGACAATAATTGATGCTGATGGGGGAGTTTCAAAGACTCTCCCCTTTTCTTCTTAATTGCAATAGCTCTTACCACAAAGGCCAAGGAATCAACGTAGATTGATTCTACATTAATTGCATATTCAGGTTCTGGGGCAATGCCCACCAGACGGGTCAGTAGACCCAGTGGAATCAATGTGAGCCAGACATGGGCCAGAATTCCATTTACTGTCTGAACCCCACATGCCTCCATTCTAACAGGGGTGTATCATGGCTCTGAGGATAAGCAATGTCGTTATCTGAGAAAATAACCATAAGGATCAATGGGGAAAGCCTGGGGCAAACATTACTACTTACAGCCCTGAGGCTGCCGGGCTTTTCCTAGTGAGGACCCAGCCTCTTCTTCGGTCATTGGATTCTGGGCTTGAAAAATATCTCAGGCCCCAAAAAAAGAACAAGGGATTGTAACTTTTTAATTATTTTTTACAATTTTTTTAGAGATAGAGTCTTGCTTTGTCACCCAGGCTGAAGTGCTGTGGTACAACCATAGCTCACTGCAGCCTCGAATTTCTGGGCTCAAGTGATCCTCTGCCTCAGCCTCCTAAGTAACTAGGACTACAGGTGTGTGTCACCATACCTGGCTAATTTTTTTAAATTTTTTGTAGAGATGGGGTCTCGCTATGTTGACCAGGCTGGTCTTGAACTGCTGGCCTCAAGCGGTCCTCCCACCTCAGCCACCCAAACTGCTGGGATTACAGACGTGAGCCACCATGCCCTGCTTGGAATCATATATTTTTATTATGGCAGCTGCCCTCATCCATCCTCTATTTTTTTATTGTATAAGTTAATCGGTGCTCATCCATGTGATGGCCCTCCACAGAGCCCTAGGAACACTATGTCTATGAAGCATCTCCAAAGCTCTGTGCGGACTTGTTCCCTTAGCTGACCTTCTGATCTTGCACTCATTATAACCATCATGCCCCCTCACTTCTGACAGCAAAATGTAACCACCTGATCCCTATTCTTTGGGGATCTTATCATCCCTGTTGTCATCAGAGATCCCAGTTCTATAATGACCATCAGTGCTGGTCTATTGAGAACAGCTGAACCAGTGAGACTCGCCAAACTTTTCAACAATGCTGGTGTCCCTCTCCCCAGTTCATTCCTGATCACTTCAGGAAGTGGCATGTACTTCAGACTCTCCTGCAGACTATCTGGTGAATTTTCCAGCCTCACATAGTGCGAGTATACTCTAGTATACCCACTTCTCTGGCCTTTGTGATCTTTTCTTCCAGCGCTTGCCACAATAGTTCTGGCACACTGACTTGGTTTAGCACGAATCATTGCTTTCTCCGGCCTCCCAGAAGCCCCACTAGCAACACAGGAGTTCTTCCTCCTGGGATCCTTGCCAGAGTATTAAATCTTGTATCCTTGGAGAATGCTCCCATATCTATCAAATTTCCCTTGCCCAGCTCTGCGCTCCACCCTGTGTTAAAAATGTACCAAGGAATTGTTTTATTCAGGTACGGTGGGACAGCAGACATGGAAATGATTGTCAGGAAGGAAGTTCATACTCACACATCCCTGAAACACGAGGCACAGCACACCATGCAGGGCCAATAGGGAAGGACCAGGGATGCTCAGGAGTGATAAGAAGAGGGAGGGCAGGCCCAGAGCCTTTCTTGGGGTTTTCTCAGGAAAGCATGGGTGAGGCAGGGTAAGGATGCAAAGTAAGTATAGTGTTGGATAGTTTGAATAATTTCAACTGGCTCTGGGCTACGGCTACGGGGTGATCCCCATTTGCCCAGTGACTGCCCTGGGGCAATTTAGGGCAAGGGGAATATTAGCTTGGTGTGTGAGAGTTTTTCTGTTTTTTGGTTTTTTTTTGAGGCAGGGTCTCACTATGTTGCCCAAGCTGGAGTGCAGTGGCTAACCACAGGCACAATCAGAGCACATGGCAGCCTCAAACTCCTGGGCTCAAGGGATCCTCCTGCCTCCGCCTCCCAAGTACCTGGGACTGCAGGCATGCACCACCATGCCAGGCTGGTGTGTGAGAGTCTGATAAAAGAGATGGCTGAGGGTGTGGCTCTGGATTGGCTGGTTTGTATATGAAATGCATGCTCACAGGGATGTCGCTTGCTATCCCTAGGAATTAGCTGGCCCTGGGAGCCTCTCCAGGATGAAGGCCCCAAATGCCAGAGCATTAAGAGTACAGAAAGTAAGAAAAAACAGTCAGTACCACCCCCAACCTCCCACCCTAACCCCACTCCCTGATTCTGCACTCTCAGAGCCCAGCCCTGTCTGCGCTCTGCTGGATCCTGCCCACTGAGGTAAGCTTGGCCCTGCAGCCCCTTCAGTGTATCGCTCTTTTTCTCCCTTCACAGGTCCCGCATCTCCCCAGGTGGGTTACAGAATATAGTTATTGGCCTAATGGTCAAGAGGGCAGGTAAGGACAGACCCTGAAGAGGGTGCCTGCTGTCTTGCAGGGACATGGCCGCTGCACTGTGTTCAAATAAATGGGGTGGGTGCTAGCCCTTAGTATGGAGGAGGGAGCCATTCCCTAGGCTCAAAGGGTTCTGGGGAATCAGGATTTTCAAGCACATGGACACAAGTGTTTCAATCTCATATCTCCAGGTTCCACTTTCTGCTCATCAGAGCCCCGACCTGGGCAAAGCAGACCTACCCAGGATGAGAGTTTAACACTTTCTAGAATTCTGCTACTCTTATGATTAAAAACTGGGCCTGATCCTCAGCTTTTTCTGCTCTCTGGTGACTGGAGATGGGGATTCCCTTATACGTTGCCAAGAAGGTCTCTGGTTTTCATACCTAGCTGGTGAGTTGTGCATTCACTGCCAGCCTTTCATTTTTCGAAGCGGCAGTTCCCCTGCAACAGTCATCCAATTCCACTGTCCTTCATTCCCCCCACGTTTCTCAAATGTCTAATACATTTCGATGGCTACTGTATTCCCCTCCACTCATTTGCCATCCAAATTCACTACTGGCAGAAGTTTTAACAATTGCACTGCTGCCTTTTCCTAGGGCTAGGCTGTGCCTCATCTACCAGCGGTTATGAAGTCCTCATTGCCAACCAGAAACACAGGTGACTCAGCTGCAGAATCCCATCTTAGCATCTGCTTTCTTGGAATATTACTTTTGAAATTAAGTTTTTAAAATTATCTGCAGAGGCAGGGTCTCCCTATGTTGCCCAGGCTGGTCTCAAACTCCTGGGCTCAAGCCCTCCTCCTGCCTCAGCCTCCCAAAGTGTTGGAATTGCAGGTGTGAGCCACTGCAGCAGGCCATGTTGAAATATCCTTGATATCACCAGTTACAGGTTGCTTCCTGGGGAAACAGGCTCTGAGATGGAAGTTAGCATGCAGGACGCCTGCTAGAGTGCTCTTGGGATTAACACCCCAGGAGAAAGGGTGACCTCAGCTGACCCCATGGGCCTTCAGAGTTGTCATGAGTTGGGGCACGGGGTCCGAGCCCTTATACCTCTGCAATGAACAGTCATCGGATACCGACTGCCCTCACAAGAGGACATGACCTTAAGCAAGAGGATCTCTGCAGCCAAGAGCAATTTCTGGAGAGGACAGACAGCTGAAGGCTGTCAGCCAGCAGCACTCCCAGAGTCCCTCAGATTTGCCGGGCAATCTGGATGGTGCACTACGCCTCCCACACCTTGCAATCTGGGCATGATTTATCTTAACGTACTCATCACCCATCAAGGTGCATGCTGCCTGCTTGGACATATAGTCTCTCTTTTATGATTATTTAAGCTGTACTTACATTTCATGCTTCATGGCAGAATTATTTAACTTAAGGGCCTTAAATATCAGGATTTGTGGTGGGCCCAAAAGGCAAGGAATGGCATGGGGAACACTGTCTCCCCATGGGTCGTTTTTCTAGAGACAAATGTACTAACCTAGATGGAATAATTCTCACACTGACTTTAGAACAGAATCTGTAAGTTCAGGGTACAGAAGGTTGATCATTTTGGTTAGAAATACTTGAGAGGGGCCAGGCACGGTGGCTCACGCCTGTAATCTCAGTACTTTGGGAGGCCGAGGTGGGTGGATCACGAGGTCAGGAGATCGAGACCATCCTGGCTAACACGGTGAAATCCCGTCTCTATGAAAAATACAAAAAATTAGCCGGGCGTGGTGGCGGGTGCCTGTAGTCCCAGCTACTCGGGAGGCTGAGGCAGGAGAATGGTGTGAACCCAGGAGGCGGAGCTTGCAGTGAGCCGAGATCGTGCCACTGCACTCCAGCCTGGGCAACAGAGCGAGACTCCATCTCAAAAAAAAAAAAAAAAAAGAAAGAAATACATGAGAGGGATTGTTGGATAATCCTACTCACCACGAATCTGGAAGAACGATGTGACACTGCATTAAATTTAACATTTCACCTTGGTAGCTATGCCAATCACTTGGTAAGTTAGTTACCATTTGAGGTTCCAAAAGTAGGTAAAAAGTGAATGAGCCAGGCTCAGTGGCCGAGGCTGAGGCAGGAGGATCACGTGAGGCCAGGAGTTTAAGACTAGCCTGGGCAACACAGCAAGACCCCATCTCTTAAAAAAAAGAATGAAACCACCCTTCAACCATTCTGGTTCTATTCATAAAAGAGTTTTGTGGGGAGGGATAGTTCCTTTTCACAGAGGGCACTGATTAAAAAGCATTGATCAATAATCAATGATTATTCATTTATTCATTTCGGACCTGGCTAGGCCTTAACGGTATTTTTTACAGGAAGTCTTTGCCACAGAGGAATTTGGCCTATGATTTCACAGCCACTGATAGGGCGTCCAGGTTGCTTGGTTTCAGTTGGGCTAGGCCATCCCAGGTGTGAATAAAAAGAAATGGTCTCAAAGTTCAGCCTAAACCCATGGGCCGTGAGGCTGCACGGGGCCATTTTCACTCCCAAGACTGGAATACTGTGTGTATGGGAGCCATTGTCCGTCATGGTCTACAGCGATTCCAGTGCCTGCAGTTGGACTGATGTTCCCAGGGTGCTCAGTGCAGTTAACATCAGCCTGTGTGCAGGGAAGCCCAGAGAGGAGGCCTGAGTTTGTGGTTTGGGGTTTTGTTTTGTTTTGTTTCATTTTGCTTTTAAGTCAGAAGAAAAATAAATCAATTTTTTAATTAAATGTTATCACTACAAGAGTGTAGTAATCTGCTTAAGACTACCTTGTGATTTCCCTCTCTCCCAAGGTTCTTAACAGTAAAAGAACATTGGTTTTTGAAGATAGAAAAGAGAGGGAGGTCTAGGTTGTGAGTTGCATGAATCCCATTTGCACATTCTTATGCCTCTGAGGTACAGAGGCGTTTGTACTTGAGGGTGGCAAGATTTAACAAATAAAAATACAGGTGCCAATATTTAATTCAAATTAAACTTGAATTTCACATAAATAATGAACAAGTTTTGGCATAAGTATATCAAATAAAAGTTTAACAAATATTTAACAAATAAAAATTTAACAAATAAAAATACGGGTGCCAATATTTAATTCAAATTAAACTTGAATTTCACATAAATAATGAACAAGTTTTGGCATAAGTATATCCCAAATACTGCATGGCATCGTGCAGAGTGTGTTCCAGATCTTGCAGGGGCCTGTATTTTATCTGGCAACTCTATTGTCTTTTCAAGTGAAAACTGTGTGGTTATGCAAAGGACCTTGCAAGGCGAGGGGACCAGCAATTTGCCTGCCCATGACAATCTGAAAAGGGGTAGTGAGCTCCAAGAACTGTGATAGGAGGGATAACAAAGAGGAAGACAGCTCAACAAAATCAAACCATCTCGTCAAATACAAATAAATGTAAAAGGGAGTTTACAAAATTCTATCAGTCAAAACACACTGATAGAATTGAGTTGGCAGACAACTGAAACAACATGCAATTGACGGCTTACAATGAACAAGCCATGATTTACAGTCCAAGAGGAGCAGGATGAGGCACGATGGTGGTGGCCATGTTGATTTCCGGTGAGAAATGGAGGAAGTTAATGTTGGCCTGTGGTTTTAGAATTTGTAAAGGTTGAGCAAGCCTCCACTGTGATGACTTTACTCTCTGTGGGAAGACTGTTGCTCCATGAGAGAGGCCCTGACTCAGTGCAGAAGGGAGATGAGAAGAAGAATATAAAAGACATTAAGAAATGACAGCCCTGAGGAAGGCAATCATGACATCCAACCTACAAATCCTCTGAAAACTTAAACTTGCCTTCCCCGGCCAGGACGCAGGCCAATGTATATTCACACACATCAGGGGTTTCCCTGATTTCTAAGTCCCTGAAGAGGCTCGGTGGTGTTCTCAGTTCTAGGTGTGATTTGACAAATTTCTAATGAGAAAATTATACATGAAAGTGTTATTTTTGACCATAAGCAGTGGTTTATGCCTGTATTCCCAGTGCTTTGGGAGGCTGAGGTGGGAGGATTGCTTGAGGCTGGCCAGGAGTTCCAGACCAGACTGAGCAACAAAACCCCGTCTCTACAAAAAACTAAAAATAAAACGTGAGGTGGGGCACAGTGGCTCATGCCTGTAGTCCCAGCACTTTGGGAGGCTGAGGCAGGTGGACTGTTTGAGCCCAGGAGCTCAAGACCAGCCTGGGCAACATAGTGAGACCCCCACCTCTAAAAAAAATAATAATACAAAAATCAGCTTGGCATAGTGGTGCATGCCTCTAGTCCCAGCTACTTGGGAGGCTGAGGTGGGAGGATCACTCGAGCCGGGAAGGTCAAGGCTGCAGTGAGCCAAGATCACACCACTGCACTCCAGCCTGAGACACAGAGCAAGACCCTATCTCAAAAATAAAATAAAATAAAAATTAGCCAGGCATGATGGTACATGCTGAGGAGGCTGAGACTGGAGGATCACTTGTGGCCAGGAATTGGAGGCTGCAGTAAGCTGTGATCGTGCCACTGCACTCTAGCCTGGGCAACAGAGTGAGACCCTGTCTCTTTAAAAAAAAAAGCGTTATTTTAAAAAAAGCTCTTGCACCTCAGTTTTTATTATTTGCAAATCCCTACTTCACTCTGACTTTTGATCACAAACTTTCAATGCATTGAATATAGAATCTAATTCAGAAGAACAAGTTCTGTGACCTTGGCAAGTCACTGCTGTTTCCTTGGTTTCTGTCTCTAAAACACAGGGGGATGGACCAGCTGATTATAAGGTAGCGTCCATCAGCCTGGCTAACATGGTGAAAACCCATTTCTACTAAAAATACAAAAATTAGCCTGATGTGGTGGTGTGTGCCTGTAATCCCAGCTACTCGGGAGGCTGAAGCAGGAGAATCACTTAAACCTGGAAGGCGGAGGTTGCAGTTAGCTGAGATCACGCCACTGCTGCACCCCAGCCTGGGTGAGGCCTGAGGTGAGACTCTGTCTCAAAAAAATTTAAAAAATTAGAAAAAAATTTGTGTCTAACATGCTCTTCTATGACTCCATGATTATGGAAAGTGTATTTTCTGATGGCCCAGTCTACATTTAGGAGAGGATATTCAACCTTTTTATTTATTATTTATTTATTTATTTTAATTTTTTTGAGATGGAGTCTCGCTCTGTTTCTCAGGCTGGAGTGCAGCAGCGCCATCTCAGCTCACTGCAACCTCCGCCTTCTGGGTTCAAGTGACACTCCTGCCTCAGCCTCCTGAGTAGCTGGGATTACAGGTATCCACCACCACATCTGGCTAGTATTTTTAGTAGAGATGGGGTTTTGCCATGTTGGCCAGGCTGGTCTTGAACTCCTGACATCAAGTGATCTGCCCGCTTAGGCCTCCCAAAGTGCTGGGATTACAGGCATTAGCCACCGTGCCCGGCCTCAATCTTTCTATTTAAAAGCGTCATTATTCCTTATTCAGAAAATAGGGTGATAACTGTAGCACCTTCCAAGTACAACCATAAATAGGATATTACCAGAAAGTGATTACGGCATGAAGAATTCTAAAATGGTCCCCATGATCTCTGTCCCCTAGTATTATCCTCAGGTTATATAGCAAGGATGAAGGACTTTTGCAGATGTTCCATCAGAATCACTGATGAATGCAATTCTGCCCTTTGCATTTCATCCCTTTGGCATAAGGCCCAGATGCAAATAAAGCTAGTGAAGAAAGTAATAGGTAAACCTTGCAAGTCATTCATTCTTCACTGTGGATAAGGTTCCAGGTGACTTTAAATTAACCAAAAGAATATCCTGAGCAGGCCTGACTTAATCATTGGAAGTCCTTTGGAAGAGGAGAACTGGGCACGGTGGCTCAAGCCTGTAGTCCCAGCACTTTGGGAGGCTGAGGCAGGGGGATCACCAGAGGTCAGGAGTTCGAGTCCAGCCTGGCCAACATGGTGAAACCCTGTCTCTACTAAAAATACAAAAATTAACCAGGCATGGTGGCACACGCCTGTAATCCCAGCTACTTGGGAGGCTGAGGCAGGAGAATTGCTTGAACCTGGGAGGCAGAGGTTACAGTGAGCCAAGATTGCACTATTGCACTCAAGCCTGGGCAACAAGAGTGAGACTCTGTCTCAAAAAAAAAAAGAAGAGGGCTGAAGATTTCCCTGGGGTCAACCCTCCTGCTGGCCTTGAAGAAGCACAGCACTGTATGTTCTACAGCTGCAAGGAAATGAATTCTATTAACAAGCTGAATGAAGCAGATTCATCCCCAGTTGATCCTCCAGATGAGAACTGCCACCTGGCCAACACATTGACTACAGCTTTGTGACACCCTGAGCAGAGGATCCTGCTAAGATATGCCTGGATTCCTGACCGATTGAAACTGTAAGATAATATATATGTTGTTTTAAGGGAAAAATAACAAATAGAAATAAACGTGTTATTATCATTCACAAATCTGGGTAATGTTCCTTGTGTGGGAAAATAGAAACATAAAGTAAAACACCTTAAAAGAAATGACTTTCAACTCTCTCTCTACCTTCTCTAGATTTTCTCTGTTCCTAGGTTTGGTTGGACTCTGGGGTTTTTAGGAGAGACCCACTAAGACTGGAAGCAGTATTTGTACAAAACCATAGCTCTTAATAATCCACACCAGCATAATTTCTCACTTGAATTCTTTTCCTTTTTCCTCTTGCACTTAGGCCAGTTGAACCGGTTTGCCCAGCTTGGAATTATTCATAAATTTTTGATTAGCTTTTGAGAAGGCATTTAAAAAGCAGTAGCAAGACGGACGGTGGAAAGACTGGACAAGACCACCTTTAAGTGTGGAGAATATCCACTGTCCAAACTCTGCGGCAATCAGAGGAACATTGGTAGTGAACCATTCAAAAAACTCATGAATCAGAGATGATGGCTACAGAAGCACATTTATTTATTCAAACATTTCTTTAGTGGTTTTAAAAACAAAGTTTGTTTTCTAGTTGGAGAACATACCACAACTATGACTCAGTCCTGACTCAGAGCTTCCTGACCAGTCGACTTTTAGGAGAGAAAAAAACAATTCAGGCTGGTGAAGGCGGAGTCACATTGATTTGGCTTCCACAAACCTGATTAAAGCAGCCTTCTTCCAACAGAAAGTGTGACTTTTCTTCATCATTTCCTTGTTTACTTTCTTTCTTTTATTTTTTTAAAAAGTACATCCCTTTTGGAGGAATTTCAAGAAAGTTTCAAAGTTGAGCCAAGTATGCTCCTTGTGCCCCCATTCCCACATCTATAAAATGATGAGGATTAAATAATCAAATCCATGAGGTGCTGAGAACAGTACCTGGGATAAAACAACTGGTCAACCAGTGTTTGCCATTATTAGTATTTTACTAAAAAGCTTGCCACGGTCTCTTTCTGGTCTCACTTTCCCGTACCCTCCAAACTACAGGCCCTACATGTCAGCCACACTATATGCCTTACATACTGGTTGTTGTTGTCGTTGTTGTTGTCGTTTTTTGAGACAGAGTCTTGCTCTGTCGCCCAGGCTGGAGTGCAATAGTGCAATCTTGGCTCACTGCAACCTCCACCTCCTGGGTTCAAGCGATTCTCCTCCCTCAGCCTCCCGAGTAGCTGGGGCTACATACAGGCACACACCACCAAGCCCAGCTAATTTTTATATTTTTAGTAGAGACGGAGTTTCACCATGTTGGCCAGGCTGGTCTCAAACTCCTGACCTCAGGTGATCCACCTGCCTCGGCCTCCCAAAGTGCTGGAATTATAGGCGTGAGCCACAGCACCTGGCCCATACTGGTTGTTAAAGGTTAAATCATGTCCTTCTCACCCTGGCCTTAAAAATAACGTACATGTTAAAGTTCTAACTCCCAGTACTCCAAAATGTGACCTTATTTGAAAGCCAGGTTGTTGCAGACATAATTAGTTGAGATGAGGTCAGTAGGATGGACACCTAACCCAATATGACTTTGGTCCTTATAAATAGGGAAAATTTGGACACAAAGACACACACACACATGGAGAAGACACCGTCAAGAAACACAGGGAGAACATCAGGTGAAGATGAGGGCGGAGATTGGGGTGATGCTCCCACAAGCCCAGGAACGCCAGAGATTGCCACCAAACCGCCAGAGCTGGAGGGTTGATGCTCCCACAAGCCAAGTAACGCCAGAGATTGCCACCAAACCACCAGAGCTGGGAGAGAGGCATGGAACAGATTGTCCCTTGCAGCCCTCAGAAGGGACGAATCCTCCTGCTGACACCTTGATCTTAGATTCCTAGCATCCAAAAATGAAAGAAATACCTGTTGTCTAAGCTTCCCAGTCTCTGGTACTTTGTTACAACAGCCCTAGCCAATGAATACACTTGTACATGGCTTAACTTTTCCCACCTCCATGTCTATAACCGTTCATTGCAAAAACCTCCCTCATTGCTGCCAGTGGAAAATTGATCCATATGTCAAATGCCTTGTTCGCCTGCTTAGATATCTGCAATCAGAATTAACTCATTTCCTATTGGTCTCTATATATGCCACTCATAGCTTACCACAATCCATGTGTATTATTAGCTCATTGGAACTATGGCTCTCTATCTAACTAGATATATTGTATGTCTTGTTATATACATTGTATAGAGTATAAGTCACAACCCAATTATTTCTCTCTCTCTCTCTCTTTTATTTTTAAGAGACCAGGTGTCACTGTGTTGACCAAGCTGGTCTTGAACTTCTGGACTCAAGCGATCCTTCCACCTCAGCCTCCCAAAGTGCTGGGATTACAAGCATGAGCCACTGCACTTCTGCGCCTGGCCAACCCAATTTTTAAGGACAGATTTTTTTTTTTAAAGCTAACCTTAGGTACTTTTTAAAAAATCAGTTCATTAAAGGAAAACTTCAACCGGATTAAATGTAAAAGAATTTAATGAAGCAATGAAGGACTCACAAATCAGGCAGCCTCCCAGGCCAGAGCAGGCTCAGGGATTCCAGCACAGCACGTCGTGGAAGAATGTTTATGAACAGAAAGAGGAAGTGAGGGACAGAGGCAGCGGATTTGTTACAGCTCAGGGTTTGCTTTATTTGAACATGGTTCAAACAGTTGGCTACATTTGATTGGCCAAAACTCAGCAATTGGCACAAGTGTGGGCTACCATCGGTTTACACCTCCACTTGTTATAGTTCACGATGTACAGAGAAACCTTTAGGCTGAACTTAAAATACGTAAGGAGGCAGCTTTAGGCTGAACTTGATTTAACACAGTAAAATTGATACAAGACATAAAACACAAATTAGGGAGAAAATGACATTCCAAATTGTTTACAAGGTAAGCAATACATGTAGAAAAAGTAAATATGTATTTCAGTAAATTTAGCCAAGTAAGCAAAAAAAATTATAATGTAATAGACATTATCTATTAGACGTTTCTATGATATATATGAGTCAATTCTTTTACAGGAAGCCACAGTGCATTTGAATGTGACATGTTTGCTGTGATGCTCTGTGCAGCCACACTTGGCTACAGGAGCTAGCAGCCTCTACAGTTTCCTTGTCTTCTAAGTAGGGCAGACTCGTAGGTTTCATTTTGTAGTAAGATTCTGTAAGATTCTCTTTTTTTTTTTCTAGGGATGTTTTTCATTTAGAGTGTTTGTCAGTATTTTTTTGGAGTCACAAAGGGAAACACAGAGGAGATACAGTGAGATGATACAAACTTCCTTTCCTGGGGAAGGCAGCTGTTCATTTTCCATCTTAAATGTGATCACTTTTCCTTTTCTTAGTGTCCAGCTAGAAACCTGCATTCCTTCCAGACCTGCTCATACCCCTCTAATCTCTGATCAGCAATTCAATGTAGCGTGCATTTGTTGGGGGCACCTTGGGGATAGGGTGGGGAAATGTGTTTTAGTCATGAGCAGATATAATAACCTCATTCAGTGAGAAGTTGATGTGAGAAATGGTGGTCTTGTGTTTCCCGTGTGTGTGTGTGTGTGTGTGTGTGTGTGTGTGTGTGTGTAATTTTTGGTAGAGATGAGGGTCTAGCCATGTTGTCCAGGCTGGTCTTGAGCTCTTGGCCTCAAGCAATTCTCCTGGCACAGCCTCCCAGGGTACTGGGATTGCAGTTGTGAGTCACTGTGCAAGGCCCCTAAATCTAGATAAATGGCCCTACCTCCAAGACCAGAAACCTCGGTGAGTGTTACCTTTGATTCCTTTCTTCCCCTCATGACCACCCCATTGTCCTGAGCTGTGTTGACTCCACCTCCTATATATTTTCCCAACCTGTCTCCTTTCCTGTCCTTATGATCATTGCCTTAGCTTGGGTCACCTTCAGTTTTCACTTAGAGAGTGAAACTCTTTTCTCATGGATTTCCTTGCTGCCTGTTGCCTACGAACCACTGTCCACACCCTAAAATGCAAGTTTAATCACATTGATTGTTATGTGCCAGAGAATGTGGAAAACGTAGCACTCATTTAATCGTCATAACAAGTGAGATGATTTCGTTTTTACAGTTGAGAAAACTACTGAGAACGTGAAGAACTTTCCAAAGTTTCACAGTTAATAAATGAGAGAACCAAAATTCAAATCCAATCTGGCTCCAAAATATAATTAAACACTACATTGCACTGCCCCTTTAATAACTCCCAGGGACTTCAAAATAAAATCCAAACTCATTAGTGTGGTAGGCAGGGGCCTTCGAGGATCAGCATCCTGGTTCTCATTTCCTACATTTTCCCTCTCCCTACACTCCCACCAGACTGAACAGTTGATCCTGCTCATTCACCTTTATGCCTCTGCATGTGTTGTTTGCTCTCTCTGGAATGTGCATTCTACCTGTCCTGCCAGCCTCCTTTTATCTTCATGGTTTATGTGTATTGAGCACCGATTTGGTGGCAGGTGCATCAATTATCCTGTTTACTCATCACCACAATTTTGTAAGAGAGATACTCATCTCTGTTTTATAAAAGTAGAAACTGAGCCTTGAGAGGGTAAATAAATTTCCCATGGACTTAAGTGCTAAGTCAAACCAGGTTTGTTGTGGCCAACTTTTAACCCAATCACTTAAAAAAATCATCTTTTTTAAAAAATTAAGGTATTACATGCAAAAAATCATCCATTTTAGGTGTACAGTTTGATAAATTTTGATAATTATATGTAACCATGTAACCACCACTATTAAGATATATGATATCCAGCTCTTCATGGCATGGAAAGAAAAGATACGTAATATTTCTCTTATTCTAAAAGCTTCCTTGTGCTCCTTTTTAGTTGATCCCTTCTTCTGACCCTCAAGCAACCACTGATCTGATTTCTGTCACTGCAGTAAAATCATACAGTATGTAGTCTTTGTTCTTTCGTGTTTGACTTCTTTCACTCAATGTCCTTGAAATTCATTTATATTCTCTTATGTACTAATATTTTGTTCCTTTTTACTGCTGAGTGGTATTCCTCAGTATGAATATGCTATAATTGTTCATTTGTATATCAATGAGTGAGCATTTAAATTATTTCCAGTGTTTGGCTCTTATGAATAAAACTGCTTTAATCTTCATATACACATCTTTGTGTGGAGGTATGTTGACATTTCTCTTGAGTAAATACCTAGGAGTGAAGTTGCAAGGTCATGTGGTAAGTCTATGTTTAACTTGACAAGACTGCCATGCTATTTTTCAAAGTGGCTGTACTATGTGGCATTCCCATCCTGAGTTTTAATTCTATTTTTCCAATATTTATACCTTTTATTTCTTTTTCTTATCTAATTATCCTGGCTAGGACATTCAGTACAATGTTAAATAGAAATGGTAAGTGCAGATATCCTGAACTTGTTCTTGATTGTAGATAGAAAGCATTGACAGCTGTAGGTTTTTAATACACATTCTTAGGTTGAAGAAAGTCCCTTATATTTCTAGTTTCCCAAAGATTTTCATCTCAAAAGAGTGATAAATATGTCACGTTTTTCTGCCTTTATTGAAATAATCATATGGGTTTTCTCCTTTATTCTATTAATAGTGTGAATTAGACAAATTCATTTTTAGATGTTAAATCAATCTTGCATTCCCAGGATAAAACCACTTGATTACAATGTCTTATCATTTTTATATATTATTTGATTCAATTTGGTAATATTTTTGAGAACTCTTTCATGTTTGTGTTTATGAGGAGTATTGGTCTGATGTTCTCTTGTGATCTCTTTGGTTTTCAAATCAGAATAACATTAGCTTCATAATATACCTTGGAAAGTGTTCCCTCCTCTATTTTCTGAAAGTGTTTGTGTAGAACTGATATTATCACTTCCTTAAGTGTTTTAAAGAATTCGTCAGTAAAGCAATCTACACTTAGGTTTTTCTTTGTGGGAAGATTTTAGATTATAAATTCAATTTCTTCATTGATATATTGCTGTTCAAGCTTTCTATTTCTTCTTTGGTCAATTTTGGTAATCTGTGTTTTTGAAGGACTTTGCTAAATTCACCTAGGTTGTCAATTTTATTGGCATGAAATTGTTTATAATATTTTCTTATTATCTTTTTTAGTTTCTGTGGGTTCTGTAGTGATGCCTTATTGCTCATTTCTAACATTGATAATTTGTGTCTTTTCTCTTTTTTTGAAGAATCAACTTTGGTTTTACTGATTTTCTCTATTTTTTTGTATTCTCTTTTATTGAGTCATGCTCTAATTTTTGTTATTTCCTACTTTCTGTTAGGTTTGGGTTAAATTTATTCTCATTTTACTAGTTTCTAGGCTTATAATTTATATCACTGGTTTGATACCTTCCTCCTTTTCCATTATAGGCATTTGAAGCTGTCCATCTTTCCCTAAGTACCTCATAGATATTTGATGTGTTACATATTCATTTTCTTTCAGTTCAAAATATCTTATAATTTATCTTTTGATTTCTTCTTTGCTCTAATTTTTTTTTTTTTTTTTTTTTTTTTTTTTTTTTTTGAGAAGGAGTCTCACTCCGTCACCCAGGCTGGAGTGCAGCGGCGCAATCTCAGCTCACTGCAAGCTCCACCTCCCGGGTTCATGCCATTCTCCTGCCTCAGCCTCCTGAGTAGCTGGGGCTACAGGTGCCCACCACAACACCTGGCTAATTTTTTGTATTTTTAATAGAGACAGGGTTTCACCATGTTAGCCAGGATGGTCTCGATCTCCTGACCTTGTGATCCGCCCACCTCGGCCTTCCAAAGTGCTGGGATTACAGGCATGAGCCACCGTGCCCGGCCTTCTAATAATTTTTAAAAATATATTGTTTGTTTAATTTTCAAGCATTTAGGCTTTTTCTAGTTATTTTATTTGTATTTGTTTATAATCCATTTTATTGTGGTCAGATAACATACTTGGTTTGATTTCAATCTTTTGAATATTGTTGAGACTTATTTTATGATCTAGAATATGGATTATGTTGGTTAACATACCATTTGCACTTGAATTTACATGCTTCAATTGTTGGGGTTCTATCAATATCAATTGAGGTGGTTTGTAATGTTGTTTAGATTTTCTATGTCATTGCTGATTTTTTGTTTAGTTCTTCCATCAGTTGACAAGAGAAAGAAGTGTTAAAATTTCTAACAATGATTGTGAAATTATTTACTTACCTGTTTCATTCTGTCAATGTTTTATTCCTGTATTTGAAACTGTTACTCAGAGCATATACATTTATGTTTCTCCCAATGAAACACTACAAAAGGTCTCCCTTTATCTCTGGCAATGCATTTTAGTTTTTTATCTATTTTATTTGATATTAATATAACCACTTCAGCCTTATTATGCTAACTGTTGATATGGTATTTCTTTCCAGATCTCTTTATTTTTCTACTTGTGTATTTATATTGAAAAGAAGTCTTTTGTAAACAGCATATAATTGAGTCCTATTTTCTTTCTGTGATATTGTGAAATACTTATTTAGTTTTCCTCCCTGTTTTCTGGCATGTAATTTCTCAAACCATTGGAATCTCCAAAATGATAAGTGTCTTTTTGTATGCTAATGATTTGCTGATGGCTGGAGTCTTTTGAATAGCCTCAGGATGGGGACTCATTGCTAAGGGAACAAATCATGTGGTTAGAAGGTTGGAATTTTACCCCTCCACCTCTAGTGAGGAAAGAGAGGCTGAAGGTTGAGTTGATCACCAATGGCCAATGAGGTAATCAAGCATACTTATTTAATGAAGCTTCCACAGAAAACCAAAAGTGCTGGGTTCAGAGAACTTCCAGATAGTTGAACATGTGGAGATTCCTGAAGGGTGGTGCACTTGGAGAAGGCACGGAAGCTCCATGACCTTTCCCACATACTTTGCCCTATGCACCCATCCATCTGCCTGTTTATTTGTATTCTTTGTAATATCCTCTATAATGAACAAGTAAACATACATGTTTCCACAGATTTTGTGAGCAGTCCTACCAAATCAATTGAACTTAAAGAAGGGGGTCAGAGAATCCCCAATTTATAACCTATCGATCAGAAGTGCAATCAGCTCTCTGCATCCCTGGTTTCCACATTCACGGGTTCAAGCTACCATGGGTTGAAAATATTTGGGAAAAGAAAACTAATAAAGAAAATAACAATATAACAATAAAAAAACACAACATTTAAAAATACAGTATGACAACTATTTACATAATATTTACATTGTATTAGATATTATAAGTAATCTAGAGATACCATAAAGTATATAGAAGGATGTACATAAATTATATGCAAATACTACACCATTTTATAAAAGGGATGGGAACATCTGCAGATTTTGGTATCTCCAGAAAATTCTGGAACCAATCCCTGCAGCTACCAAGGAATGACTGTGTAGGTGACAACTTATTACTTGCAGTTGGCATTTGGAGTGGGAAGCAATCTTGTGAGACTGAGCCCTCAACCTGTGGGATCTGATGCTATCTCCAGGTAGATACTGTCAGAATTGAATTGAGTTATAGGACATTCAGCTGGTGTTCACTGAAGAATCTGCTAGGGCATTGGTTGCTGGTGAGGATTGCTGATCAGAGGTCATAGACATGATCTGTGTTGGCAGGTAGAAGTAAAAAAAAAAGTTTGTTTTTTCCTCTCACACTTTCATTCTGAAAGTCTCCGCCTTTTACTGGAGTGTTAAGTCTATCAATTTTTAATGAACTACTGATATGCTTGGGTTTGGGTCTATTTTTTTGTTATTGTTCTTTACTTATCTCATCTGTTCTTTATTCTTCTGTTCCTACATTTCTGCCTTCCCTTGGAGGAAATATCTCAAAAAATGTTAATTATATTTTAGTTGTCCACATGGATTTTTAGCTAGACTTTTTTGCTTTTTTTTTTACTGGTTACCCTAAGGATTACTATATGTATATGGGCATATATATACACACACACATACATACATACATACATATACATATGCTTGTGGGCATGCACACACACAAACACATATATATATACACACATATATATATATTATATACACACAACCTTTCATAGCTCTCTTACAGTTAATATGTACTATTTTCTGTAAAGTATAAATATCTTACAACTTTGTAAATCTATATTTTCCCTCTATTTTTATGTTATAGTTATTACATGTATTATATCTATATACATTTAAAACTCCAAAAGACATTGTTATAATTTTTCCTGTAATCAGTTATATTTTATAAAGAAATTAAGAGAAAAAACGCAAAAGGAAAAATAAGTTTGTATATTCTAATTATTTGCCATTTCCAAAACCCTTGTTTCTGAGGATCCACATTTTCCTCTGGTATTATTTCTCTTTAGCCTGAAGAACTTTCTTTAGCAATTCTTGTAGAGAACATCTACTCGTAATAAAGTCTCTGTATCTTTATTTCACCTAAATTCTTTTTTTTTCTTTTATTATCATTATACTTTAAGTTTTAGGGTACATGTGCACAATGTGCAGGTTAGTTACATGTGTATACATGTGCCATGCTGGTGTGCTGCACCCCGCCTAAATTCTTAGAGAATATTTTTGCTGGATATAAAATACTGGATTGACAGTTTTTTTCCCAGCACTTTAATTACACTGTTTCACTTTATTCTAGCCTCCAGAATTTCTGATGAGAAATCTGATATTAATTAGATCATTGTTCCTCTGTATGTAATATATTATTTTCTCTTGCTCCTTTGTTTTTGTTTGTTTGAGTTTTGGGTTTTTTTGTTTGTTGTTTTTTGTGTTTTTTTGTGTTTATTTTTAATTTTTTTTTTTTTTTGGTTGTGGTTTCTTTGTTTTGTTTTTAGAGACAGAGTCTTTTTTTATTTATTTATTTCAAGAGACAAGGTTTTAGCCAGGCATGGTGGCTCATGCCTGTAATCCCAGTACTTTGGAAGGCTGAGGTGGGAGGATCGCTTGAGCCCAGGAGTTTGAGACCAGCCTAGGCAACATAGTGAGACCCCTATGTCTACAAAAAATTTAAAAATTAGCCAGGATATGGTGGAATGTACCTGTAGTCCCTGTTACCTGGGAGGCTGAGGTGAGGGGATTGTTTGAGCCCAAGAGTTCAAGGCTGCAGTGAGCTATGATTGTGCCACTGAAGCCCAACCTGGATAAAAAAAGACAAAGAAGAAAGAAAGAAACAGAGAAGAAACAAAGAAAGAAAGAAAGAGAGAGAGAGAAAGAAAGAAAGAAAGAAAAGAAAGGAAGGAAGGAAGGAAGGAAGGAAGGAAGGAAGGAAGGAAGGAAGGAAGGAAAGAAGGGAGGGAGGGAGGGAGGGAAGGAAGGAAAGAAGGAAGGAAGGAAGGAAGGAAGGAACGAAGAAAGAAAAAGAAAGAAAAAGAAAGGAAGGAAGGAAGAAAGAGAAAGAAAGAAAACAGAAAGAAAAAGAGAGAGAGACGGAGGGAGGGAGGGAGGAAGGAGAGAAAGAAAGAAAGAAATGAAAGGAAAGGAAAGGAAAGGAAAGTCTGTCTCATTATGTTGTGCAGGCTGGGCTTGAACTCCTGGGTTCAAGCAATCTTTCCACCTCAGCTTCCCAAAGTGCCAAGATTACAGGCATGAGCCATTGTGACTGACCCTCTTGCTTCTTCAAAAATTTGCTCTTATCTTTTTCTTCAAGCACTTTGATTATGATGTCCTTGGTGTGGGCTTCCTTGTGTGTGTCTCTTAGTGGGTTGTTGTTTTTTAGTTGTTTGTTCAGCATCTTTTTTTTGCAAATTTATATCTTTCATTGAATTTGGGAAATCTCAGCCATTTAAAACAAGTTTTTCTGTCCCATTCTTCTTTCCCTCTCTTTCTGTTATTTCAGTTACATCCATGCTGGATTGTTTGATATCATCTAACAGATTCCTGAGGGCTCTGTTTATTTTTTATCTTCTTTCTCTGTTTTATATCTTAGATAATTTCTATTTATCTCTGTTTATGTTCACTTACTCTTTTCTTTGTCAAGTTCATTTAGATGTCACATTCATTTAGTACACTTATGTTTCAGAAATTTTATTTTTCAGTCTAGAAGTTCCATTTGGTTCTTTATTGTTTCTATATCTCTGCTGAGATTTCTTCTCTGCTAAAATTTTCATTCATTGAAAACATGTTTTTTTCCATTTATAATCGTTATAATCGAGTTTCAAAATCCTTGCCTATTCAGTCCAACATGTTTCCATCCCAGGGTCAGACTTGATTGATTTTCTTTTCTTCTGAGAATTTAGTTCAGTTTTCTTGGTTCTTTGTGTGTCAGGGAATTCTGGGTTGTAGCTTAGACATTACGAATGTTCAGTTGTAGAGGTTCTGCATTTTGTTTTTCCCCCCTCAGTGAGTGTCGTTTCCTTTGTCTTAGCAGGTAATATTCTTGGCTGGGTTTAATTGCAAACTATGTTTTAAGTAGCAGCTCTGGTTTCAGTTCAGACCTTTGGTTTGTAACTGATCTACCTTGAGTCTGTCCCATTTGTTCCTGCTGTAGGAGTGAGTCGGAGATATGGATAGATCGATTTAGGAAAGTCGTTCTCTGACTCTCGCCCTTCCATGGTTCCCTGCCCCTATTCTATTTAGCATTCAGTGTTTTCTGGCACCACCCTTTTGGTTCCCCAGGCCAGCTATCAACCCAGGCTAAAGCCACAAAGCTGCTAGTCTCCCCTTCCCTCCTTCTCCAGGGTAACTCTCCACCAGAATCTGTTTGCCTCTGTTTACTCTCCAGTACCTTCAGGTAGTTACCTTTTGTGTTATGGTCAGGTTTTGCCATTGTTTTCTGCATAAAGAGTCATCCAATAGATGTTAGTTTTTATATCTGGAAGCAGAATTGACAGATTATTCTTACTTTTGGTCAGTGTTCTGAACTCAACTTAGGCATTGCCTGGGAAACTCTCCCTGACTTTTAGGTCTAGGATAGGTTTAGCCTCTGTTTGCTTGCCTAGCACACCCATTCACTCATTCATTTATTTATTCATTCACAAAACAATTGCTTTCCTAAGCCCTGAGGGAACCACATGAATAAGAAAGTGTCCTTTCTCAGATATGAACAGACACTTCTCAAAAGAAGACATTTATGCGCCAACAGACACATGAAAACATGCTCATCATCACTGGCCATCAGAGAAATGCAAATCAAAACCACAATGAGATACCATCTTATGCCAGTTAGAAAGGCGATCATTAAAAAATCAGGAAACAACAGATGCTGGAGAGGATGTGGAGAAATAGGAAAGCTTTTACACTGTTGGTGGGAGTGTATTAGTTCAACCATTGTGGAAGACAGTGTGTTGATTCCTCAAGGATCTAGAACTAGAAATACCATTTGACCCAGTGATCCCATTACTGGGTATATACCCACAAGATTATAAATCATGCTACTACAAAGACACATACACATGTATGTTTATTGTGGCACTATTCGCAATAGCAAAGACTTGGAACCAACCAAAATATCCATCAATGGTAGACTTGATTAAGAAAATGTGGCACATACACACCATGGAATACTATGCAGCCATAACAAAGGATGAGTTCATGTCTTTTGCAGGGACATGGATGAAACTGGAACATAATTCTCAGCAAACTATCACAAGGACAGAAAACCAAACACCGCATGTTCTCACTCATAGGTGGGAATTGAACACTTGTTTACGTGTCTGCCTCTTTTCAGATTCTAAACTCCTGGAGGACACGGTCCACATTTTGCTCATATTTTATTCTCAATACTTAATAATTATTTAAATAAGCAAATGAGTAGAATTTAACAAGTGGTAAATGAAATAAATGTCATAGCAAATTGGAGCAATAGAGGCATGGAAACAAACTTTCCAGTGTGTTCAGGGAACTACAAATAGTCTTTGGAATGTGGCATCTGCGGGGAGCTGCAGTAGATGAATCTGCAGCCAGCTGATAGAGGACCACACTGACAATTTTTTGATGGACTCCATTCTCCAAGCTTTCACTTTCTGCAATTTCAGTTACATGCGGTCAACCACAGTCTGGAAATATTAAATGGAAAACTCCAGAAATAAACAATTCATAAGTTTTTCAATTGCATGCCATTCTGAGTAGCCTGAGGACATCTCATGCTATCCCACTCTGTCCACTCAGTATATGAATATTTCATTTGTCCAGCATTTACACGCTGTCTACACTGCCTGCCTTTTCGCCGCCCAGCAGCTGTCTCGGTTATCAGATGTTCAACTGTTAAGGGATTACAGTGCGTGTATTAAAGCAACCCTTATTTACTCCATAATGGCTCCAAAGTGCAAAAATAGTGATGCTGGCACATTGTTATAATTGTTCTCTTTTAACTTTCGTTATTGCTTTTTTTTTTGACAGGGTCTCACTCTTGTCACCCAGGCTGGAGTGCAGTGGCACAATCTTGGCTCACTGCACCCACTGCCTCCTGGGCTCAAGCAATCCTCTCACCTCAGCCTCCTAAGTAGCTGGGACTACAGGCACAGGCTGCCATGCCTGGCTAATTTTTGTCTTTTTTGCGGAGACAGGTTTTTACCGCGTGCCCCTGGCTGGTCTCAAACGCCTGAGCTCAAGCGATCCACCCACCTTGTCCTCCCAAAGTGCTGGGATTACAGGCAAGATCCCCCCATGCCAGGCCAGTTATTGCTATTAATCTCTTACTGTGCCTCATTTATAAATTAAACTTTATCCTATGTATATATGTATAGGTAAAAACGTGACTATCACATTGGGGGCAGGATTTAAAAAGAAAAAATAAATAAAAATAAAAACATAGTATATATAGGGTTTGGTGCTATCCATGGTTGGAGGCAGCCATGGGGGTTCTTGAAACATATCCTCGTGGATAAGGGCGACTAAGCAGCAGACCAGTTAGCAGAAATAGCCACCTCCACGCAGCCACTGTAAGGAGTGACTTCTTGTAAGGAGTGTCTATGAGCAAGTAATTCCTACAGCAGTTTCCTAAATTCCACAGCTGTAACTAAAAGGTACTTTAAAAAATACTTTTAGCTTCACGAATAAGGAATGGATTAAGTTTCTGCAAATATTTAAAATCTTTGAAGTCGTTTGCAAGCCCCATTCTTCTGCTTGGCTGCTGAGGGCCACGCCTGTTCCTGAGGATTACCTCTCCCAGACCCCAACCCTCCTTCCACCACACCTCAGCCCTGGGAGGCCTGGTGACCAGCTGGGAGTGCCGGGCTCCAAGGCTGAGAGGTGTTGCTCAATCAGCTGAAGTGTCCTAGTCCATGAAAAGGGTACGATTTCTCTTTGCCGAAGAGACAATGCGGGAACCTTAGGAGAAAACAGCAGGAAAAGACATTGCTGCCCAGGTGGACACACATCTCCTCCAGGTGCGCTTTCCTTGGCTTTTGAGGCCTCGTATATTTGGACGTTGAAGGCGTCCCTCAGGTACCACCTGGAATGGTTTGTGCGAGTGGAGCTCTACTACCAAATGAAAACTTTCAATTACATTATTGTGCATAATGGACTTGGGGGCCTTTTTAAAGCAAAGGAAGTAACACTGCAGGAAAGGCAAAATGGAATTAAAGAAGCGGAGAGGTAACCATTTGTTTTTGTTTGACGCATCTAAGTAATTTTTTAAATGTTTTAATTCACAGGGTTGAAAACCGATGGCTGATAAGATAAATGTAACTCCATGTTTTGTTCAGCTTGCTCAGTGCACTAGAATTTGAGAAAGTTCCCATTAAAAATCTGGTTTCTCTTGAAATATGGGAAGACCTGGCAACACTAGGCCATAGTCCCACAACACGCACCAAGAGTTCAGAGCTGAGTGGCAGCCGCTCCCTCTGGCAGGGTTAGATGACCTCCGACCCCTGCAGGGCACCCCTGTTGTGGTCACTAACCACGTCCGCTCACTTATGCATATCTGCCAGGCTCCTGGAGCATCTACGTTTTCTGATCCCTGCCTCAAAGACTTCCTAACTTTTCCAACCTTCCTCTCTTTCCTTTCCTGGTTTCTTGCCGGCCATTTCACTCACAACAGGCAAAAGTGGTTTTCCTGCCCTGAGAATCTTTTTAAATTGTTCTTGCAAAACAGGCCAAGCGCGGTGACTCACGTCTGTAATCCTAGCATTTCGGGGGGCCGAGGTGGACGGATCTCTTGAGATCAGGAGTTTGAAACCAGCTTGGCCATCATGGTGAAACTCCATCTCTACTAAAAATACAAAAATTAGCTGGGCATGGCAGTGTGTGCCTGTAATCCCAGCTACTTGGGAGGCTGAGGCAGGAGAATTGCTTGAACCCGGGAGGCAGAGGTTGCAGTGAGCCGAGATCATGTCACCGCTCTCCAGCCTGGGTGACAGAGTGAGACTCTATCTAGAAAAAAAAAATTATTCTTGCAAAACATATTAGATGGACCCTGATAGGGGTCACTGACCTTCCCATGAGGTATGAACAAGAAAAGACCAAGCGTCAATAGAAGTAAGGTTTTTCTCTAGATCTGCCAGCGGCCTATGCTGTAACCACGGTTTACTCAGCAACTAGCACCATGCCCAGCATGCTCCATTAGTAAGCTCTGAATGGATGGAGTAATTTTACTATGGTCTTAAGCAGTTTACTCATTTAACCAAATGGTCTCCAAGGTTTGTCCAGCCCTATTTTCTGTGATTCTGTGGGCAAAGATTTCCTGGTGGCTTAATATGACTGAATGCAAGAATAATGGGCAGGGAACCAAAACTCTGCCCAGTGGTTGTTTTTTTTTTCCATAGGTTATTGGGGAACAGATGGTATTTTGTTACATGACTAAGTTCTTCAGTGGTGATTTGTGAGATTTTGGTGCACCCATCACCCGAGGGGTAAACACTGCACCCTATTTGTGGTCTTTTATCCCTCACCTCCATCCCACCCTTCCCCTCAGGTCCCCAAAGTCCATTGTATCATCCTTATGCCTTTGTGTCCTCATAGCTTAGCTCCCACATATCTGTGAGAACATACAGTGTTTGGTTTTCCATCCCTGAGTTACATCACTTAGAATAATAGTCTCCAATCTCATCCACATGGCTGCAAATGCCGTTAATTCATTCCTTTCTATGGCTGAGTAGTATTCCATCATATATATATATACACCACAGTTTCTTTGTCCACTTGCTGATCGATGGGCATTTGGGTTGGTTCCACGATTTTGCAATTGCAAATTGTGCTGCTATAAACGTGTGTGCAAGTATCTTTTTTGCTTAATGACTTCTTTTCCTCTGGGTAGATACCCAAGAGTCGGATTGCTGAATCAAATGGTAGTTTTAGTTCTTTAAGGAATCTCCACACTAAAATCTCTGCCCAATGTTAATTCCACTTGCCTGTAGCCTGTTAACATTTGTTGCTTCTGTGTTAAGTCTGGGTGCATAGGAGTTTACAAGATGTGGAGTTTGGCTTCTGCAAATGATGAACAAGAAAGTCAATAATTTTAAGACAGTGAGAGTGCAATAGGATCACCCCGCAACCCCGCCGGACCACCAGGTCCAGATCTGTGCCATTATCACTCTGTGCTCTTTCATCTCTGACCTTCCTTTCTGGGAAACTATCAGTGACTCTTGGAGACAGATCTCTGATCACAGCCTCTGGATGGCACTTCTGCTGCTGGTCGTTAGATGAGCGGTGCCTCTACAATTATGTTGGTCACAAATGTTGATGCTACAGTGCTGGCTTCCCTGGGAGATTCCATCAGGATCCAGAGGACTAACACCAGCTTCCCTCCCGGATGCTGACTTTGCTCAGAGGAGTGAAGAGAAGGGCCGGGGAGGTCAGGAGGGGAGGCCCACTTGCTGGGGTTGGCCCTGTCTGTTCTACAATGGTTACCAGGCAACTCTGAGGTTACATTCAACTCTCTTGTGAAGGTGATTGCAGGCACGCACTTTGCTTTTATGTGACTTTTTTTCTGGTTTTTGTTTTCGTTTTTGAGACAGGGTCTCACTCTGTCATCCAGGCTGGAGTGCAGTGCTGCAATCAGAGCTCACTATAGCCTCAAACGCCTGGGCTCAGGGGATCCCCCGACCGTAGCTTCCCAAGCAGCTGGCACTGTAGGTATGTGCCACAATCCCCAGCTAGTTTTTTATTTTTGTTGCCCAGGCTGCTCTCGAACTCCCGGCTGGAATCAGTCCTCCCACCTCAGTCTCCCAAAGCACTAGGATTAAGGCATGAGCCACTGTGCCCAGCCACTTTGATATAATTGTATCTCTAAATTAATGAATTGTGTTGAAAACTCTGTCTCTCCAGAAGACGGGTCAAATTTCAATCAAACAAGAGAGGAGATGCTCCCAGAGGAACCAGTCTAAGGTGAGGTGTCTTGCAGGCACGGCACTGCACCCTCACTTAGCCCTCTGGTCGAGGCAATTGTCATTTCTCTGCAGGCTGCTAGAACAGTACGTCCATGCACTGAGGAGAGAGAGTCTGCCAAGAGGAAGCCCGGGCCCGGGGCCACCCAGCTGACACCCTGGGTGTTGGAGCCCACCCAGCCTCACAACTCAGCCACTTAGACTCCTGCACAGGTCCTAGGATTCATTCTGATCCGAAGCAGGAGGATGTGACAGCCTTGACCCCAACTCTCTGGGACTCAACATGCAGCCCGTGGTATTTGCTGTCCAGCATTGGTCTGGTCCCTGATGTTGATAACCAAGCATCCAGCTTATCCCTAAGACTGAGCCTCCCTCCCTCAGTGTATGCTCTGGTTCTTACTGTCAGTCAGGCCCTGGATTTGTCCTTTTTCTGGTAACTGCTCAGCACCCCCCGTGCCTCCTAGATTGGAGGCCCTGCCCAGCCTCCTTTGAGGAAGAAGAAGCATGTACAAACATTTACCAGGTGACTTCAGCATCCCAGCCACAATTCCAGACCCTGGGCCACATCTTCTCCTTTTATATCCTCATGGCAGTTGTGCAAGGCTGAACTGGTCCCCAGCATACATGAAGAACATTGACGCTATTGAAGCTCAGAGATGATAAGGACATTTCCCAAGGTCATCTGGCTGGGGAGTGGAGGAGCAGGCATTGGAGGCCTGGTCAGTGTCACCTGAGAGCGTCACGTTACTACCGCTCCACTCGGGGCCTCCCCGGGACTGAAGCGCAGCTCCAAACTGCAGCCGAGTCTGGGCTCTCTCTCACCTGCCAGCCGCCTCACTAACGGCTGCTCCTCCTGGATTTGCCACGGCTCTGTCTTCTCCCCTGTGTGGGGTCCCTCACTGTGGTCAACCTTGCATCCCACGTGGCCAACCGGCCTTGAGGAAGAAAGCAAACTCTGGGCCTGAAACCAACTTAGCCACTTAATAGCTTGCTCCGTGAGCCTGAACAAGTTTCTTAGTTTCTCTGCAAGTCGGTTTCCTCATTCGTGTAAAACCCACCCCGTAGAGTGGTTGTACAGATGTAAATCTGAATACCCTTTAAAATCCTGAATTTAAAAGCTTTTTTTCCAGCAACATAGTGAGACATCATCTCAAAATAAATAAATAAATAAAAAAGTAAAACCTTCTTTCTCTGACCATGAGTCTGGACTTAATGTTTAAAACTCTTTGTTTTAGGGCCATGCGTGGTGGCTCACGTCTATAATCCCAGCACTTTGGGAGGCCCAGGCAGGTGGATCACCTAAGGTCAAGGGTTTGAGACCAGCCTGGCCAACATGGCGAAACCCCCGTCTCTAAGAAAAATAAAAAAATTAGCCAGGCGTGGTGGCACATGCCTGTAATCCCAGCTACTTGGGAGGCTGAGGCAGGAGAATCACTTGAACCCAGGAGGTGGAGGTTGCGGTGAACCGAGATCGCACCACTGCACTCCAGCCTGGGCAACAGAGTGAGACTCTGTCTCAAAAAACAAAAGCAAACAAACAAAAAACTCTTTGTTTTAAAACTGAGCTTGTATGTGTTTTTTTTTAAACCAAGACTGAGAGGACACTCGCAGAGGTTTTCACAGATGATGTTGCTATTGGAATCAGTAAATTGTATTGTGTATAATACAGGATGTAACAATGTCATTCTGGCATTTGTTATGAATGCAGCCCATGCGCGAGGGAAAATCACGGGTCCCGCAAGCACACTCTGTAACAATGCCTCTTCCCAGGAGGGGCCCCCCACCAGGCTGACGATTGTCTTCAGGCTCCATCGATGTTTTCCGTTGTTTAAAGACACACATTAACGTAAAGTCTCCTCCCATTCTCTCTGTAAATTACAGCATTCAGAAGAAGTGGCAGCTGCTGTAATTAAGACACAGTTAATTGCCTATCTCCTTAATTGCAGTGATAGGATTTTGACAGTTTGGTAAATAAGAATTGTTTGGTTTCCTCTGGCAACTTCAGCCTCAGTCAGTTCTCTCCTGCAAGTGCTGAGTCACCCAGTCTGGGGACAAAGGGCTGTGGTCCAACGGAGACAGGATGGGGCAGGAACTGCAGGTGAGAGGGGGGCAGTGTTTATGATTCACCTTAAGTCTCCTCTCTCTCTCTGCAAGAGCCTCCCCACCATTGCCCATTCTGTCGCCCAGTAAGATCCTCCCAGAGTTTTCTCCCAGTTGAATCAGTCATCACATGAGCCTATGAGACAGGAAGAAACAGAAGCAGAATGCCCGTATTGTGGGGCAATGATCTCCTGCTGCTGACGGGCACAGGAGGATGGGACGCTGTCAACTGAGGATACAGAAGCCCAGAGAGACTAAACGTACCCAAAGTCAGGGAGCTACGCTGTGCAAAGCCAGGATCCCAATTCAGGTCTTCTGACCCACAGCCTCAAGCACACTCCACAGAGGCAGGGATTTGGGGTCACCCAGACCTGGGTTCAGAGCCTAACTTTGCCTTTACTGCCTGTGTAACTATGGGTCAGACACTCAGTGTTTCCAGGCCTCAGTTGCTTCCTTCGCAAGTTGGATTTTGTAGTACCCACCTCATAACACTGTGAGAACTTAAAAAAATAATCTGTTGGGCATGGAGGCTCACACCTGTAATCCCAGCACTTTGGGAGGCCCAGGTGAAAGGACTGCTTGAGCCCAGGAGTTCAAGACCAGCCTCGGCAACATAGGGAGACCTTGTCTCTACAAAAAAACCCAAAAATTAGCTAGTCATGGTGGCATGCATCTGCAATCCCAGCCAATTGGGAAGCTGAGGTGGGAGGTTTGCTTGAGCCCGGGAGGTCGAGGCTGTAGTGAGTTATGATTGCACCACTGCACTCCAGCCTGAGGGACAAAGTGAGAACCTGTCTCAAAAAAAAAAAAAAAGACAGAAAAAGAAAAAGAACCTCATGAGGAGGAGACTTCAGCAACATGTCAGGCTTGCAATAAGGGCTCCACAAATGGAAGTTACGTAGCAAGTATCAATCTTGTTCCAAAACTTACATAAATAACTTTTTTTTACATTTCTTTATTTTCCATAAACTTAATTTTGACTGTGGTCTACGTTCCGGCTTCCATTTCAGGTGTTTCTCTCCAGGATCTTGCTACTTATTGATGACACCGTATCAAGGCGCCAGAGTCCAAATGGTCATCATAAGAAAAACTGCACCTAACTTCCACAGCCTCCTAGGAGGCCCAGAGACATCACTGTACTTGCCTGCCATCCTATGTGGTGCTGGAAAAAAAAAAAAAAAAAAAAAAAGAGGGGGCAAGAGAAATAAAACAAGTTTCCATAGTAAAACAGCACATAGCTCATCTTCTGCCGTGGTTACGATTAGCACTGAAACGTGACTGTGAGCTCTGACTGTGTTGTGACAACCATGTTATCATCAATCTTTCTTCCCTGTGGCCACACAAGGCTCAGGAACTAGGATTTTAGTGACAGTGGCATCTGGCTCTTTCTCAGTACCCCTGTTTTCTGTTGTTGTTGTTTTTGTTTGTTTGTTTTTTACTATAACTCCTGCCTTTCCTAAGTATAAAGGGAAAGGAAATATTGGTATACAATATCTAACATTTTTTCAACAAGTGAATGAATGAAGGGAGGTGACTGGGTAGAAAATTCCTATTTAAAAACAAAATTCCTTTACAGACAGGTAGATCTTGTCCTGCTCAACACATATGAGGGTCTGGCTCTGCAGAGATGGGCTTCAAGGCCGGGTGCGGTGGCTCACGCCTGTAATCCTAGTACTTTGGGAGGCCAAGGCAGGCGGATCACCTGAGGTCAGGAATTCCAGACCAGCCTGGCTCACATGGCGAAACCCCATCTCTACTAAAAATACAAAAACTAGCTGGGAGTGGTGGCGCGTGCCTGTAGTCCCAGCTACTCAGGAGGCTGAGGCAAGAGAATCTCTTGAACATGGGAGGTGGAGGTGCTGAGATCCTGCCACTGCACTCCGGCCTGGGCCACACAGCAAGACTTGGTCAAAAAAAAAAAAAAAAAAAGGGATGGGCTTCAACAGGATAGAAGCTCACTGCTCTTTCATCTAAACCCAGTCCCGAGGAAAGGAGTCAGGAGCTGGTTTGGTGGCTCCACAAGCATCAGGGAACCAGCCTTCTTCAAATGTATTATTCCACCATCCTACATTCCCGGCTTCCATCACAGGGACCCAGGACTGCTTGTACCCCCGCATCCCGTCTGCATCTCCACCAAACAGGAAGGAGAAGACCATGCCTTTTAAAAATAGCACAGAGCACTCTCACCATTGCATTTCCTTGGCCAAAATTAGACACATAGCCACACTTAAATGTGACATACAAGGACCTGGCCACCCAGCCTGCTGCCATTAATGCATGTTTCACTGAACACTATAATCCTCACTCAAGCAGAGGCTGCTGGATGCCACCGTCCCAAAGTAGGTACCCCACATATGCTGCACGGTTCCAGTCAACCCAGTGCTTACCTAACCAGCAAATCTAGATGTTGCCAGCCAACACAACATTGAGACACTGCGATTTTCTGACATGAGACCTACACAGTTCTCAGTCTTGGCTTTAAAAACCGACTGCATTTGGCCTCCCTTGAACCAAATCCCCCAGAACCTAGAATCTGTGCTAGATTGAGTTTCTTGCTCAAGGATATAACTTTCCCACTCATTGCACCATCTGTACTCTCTTAGTCTTTCTATATTTTTTTCTTAAACAAATGAAAGGGAGGCTGAGGAATATAGTCTTTAGGTGAGTCACCCCTGAGTACAGCTAAAAAGTGAGGGCTCTATAAGGACGGAATAGATATGAGGGACAAATAGCAGTCTCTATCACACCCATAAATTGGTTGAAAAAAAAACATGGTGGCTCACTCCTGTAATCACATCACTTTGGGAGGATCACTAGAGGCCAGCAGTTCAAGATCTGTCTGGGCAATGTGGCGAAATCTCATCTCTACAAAAAATTTTTACAAATTAGCCAGTCACAGTGGTGCGCACCTGTTGTCCTAGCTACTCGGAAGGCTGACGTGGGAGGATTGCTTGAGCCCAGGAGTTCAAGGTTGCAGTGAGCCCTGATCACACCACTGCCCTCCAGCCTGGGTGACAGAGCGAGACCCTGCCTCTACCAAAAAAAAAAAAAAAAGTAGAGTTTAAAGTCAAAATAACCATAGCCCTGCTCCCTCCCCAGCAGGCTTCAGATGGATTCATGCAGTGATACTGTGGATTTGAAACACTCTTACCTAGATCCTAAGCAGTCAGATGACCAAGTGACATCTGGGTATAAATGAATAGTGCCATGGACCTGTGCACTTGTCACCACACATTCAACACCAGCAGCCCACTTGGGCCTGAGCTAGCAAGTAGGACTGTGTCTCTTTAACCCCACAAACTTCAGGTCAGTAAAAAGAGCACTCGACTTGGAGTCAAGATCTCCAAGGTGAATCAGAGCTCAGCTGTCTAGTAAGTGACTGATTTTGTGTAGGTGCCAGAAACGGAAATAATAATAAGGCCAATGAACGCACGATGAGAAGTTATCATGGACCAGGCACTGTGCTAAGCTAATGTGCATTGATTCTTTATTCCCCATAACAATCCTACAATCTAGATCATAATGATCTTACTGCCATTCTTCAAATGAGAAAATTAAGGCTCTGAAAGTAAGGAATGACCAATGGAGCCAATAAAGTAGTAGCATGAGAATTTAAAATCAGAGCTCAGCCTGGGCAACATAATGAGACCCTATCTCTACAAAAAATTTAAAAATTAGTGAGGTATGATGTCTCATGCCTGTAGTCCCAGCCACTCTGGAGGCTGAGGTGTGAGGATTGCTTGAGCCCAGGAGGTTAAGGCTGCAGTGAGCCATGGTTGTGCCACTGCACTCCAGCCTGAGTGACAAGTGAGACCCTGTCTCAAAATAAAATAAAATAAAATAAAATAATGAAACCAGGGCTCTGTGGCCAGACTTCTTGCTCTTAACAAACCTATGCTGCTTCTAATGAAGAAGAGAAGATACGTGCCAACTTTAAGGTGTAACTGGGCTGGCACACAGGTAGACAGTACATAGTGATCAGTGGTGTGGGAGAGGGCTTACAAGGTCAGGTGGGTAGGGGACACTCCCTAGATGAAGAATGAATAGAAATCAGCCAGGCAGACATGAGGAGCAATGTGTCTACAGCCAGGAAGCAGCACGCGTGACAGCATGGCTGCATCAACTGCACAGTGGCTGCTGGGCCCCAGACATTGTGTTTGCTATCACGGGGAATGGAAGCGGAAGGTGGAAAAAGATAGTTCATTTTTCAGCGAGGAAAACATTCTGTAGAAAACCCCCAATGGATGTTTCCTTACATCTTGTTGGTTATGTTGGTTAGAACTAAGTCACAAAGGTGCTCTGAGCTGTGAGGAAGGACAGAGCCATGAGCATAGAACTAAGAGGATTGGGAACTGGATGTGGCAGTGTGCACTTGTAGTACTAGCTACTCAGGAGGTTGTACCTGGAGTAATAGCTACAGGAGATTGGAGTGGGAAGATTACTTGAGCACTGGAGTTTGAGACCATCCTGGGCAACATAGAGAGACCTTGTCTCAAAAACAAAACAAAACAAAACAAAACAAAAAACCCCGAGACCAAAAAGTGAACAAACAAAACACACACACACACACACACACACACACACACACACACACACACACAAAAGGGAATGGGATCTCCAAACTTGGCTGAGATCAACCATAATCATTCTCTTGGGCTGGGCCGACTGCAACCTGAACAAAATTGTGGTTGTGTTGGCCAGGAAGAAATGAGGGCTGCTCGGTGGAGAGGGGACCTACAGGCTCAGCTCACAGTCTTTCAAACAGGTCCAAACAAGAAGTGATAAGGAACAGAACTAGCAGATGAGTTGAGAACAGCATGGTGAGACTATCAGGAAGCAGAAGTGAAAGTACTTAGTGAGCTACCAGAAGTGAGGGCTGAGGGAGAAGGATTCTTAGGCGATTCCCAAATGTATGACTTGGGTGACTGAGATGTCGGTGATTTAATTAATTGGGGGCGGAGGGTGAGGACTGGGGAAGGCAGGCTAATGAGATGCACAAAATGATCTTATGACTTAGGAGACAATCTTTTGCTTGGGGGATCCTTCAGAGACTTTCCTGTCTCTTGATCTGTTGGGCAAATCAAATAAAGAAAGCAAGTAAAAGCCTTTTCGTATAAGCCTCATATAATGGTAAATGTCTTCATCTCTTAAATAGAAAGCAGCTGGGGTGGCTGCCTGATCTTATTTCCCCAGTGGCTGTGTCTATGTGACCTGACCCCAACAGACAGGGTGTCATGGAAGCCGCGTCATATCAATGGCAGTGCCCAAGGGACCATGAACCCCTGCTTCTGGGATCCCAAGACCTGACCTGGTACTGCCTCCTTGAGGCATGGTGAGTCCCGTCCTTCCTTCAATTCTATAGTCCACTCCAATAAACTGCCTTCCAAGAAGTTAATTTTTTTATCAAGTTAATAGTGATTATTTTTGTAACTTAAAACCAAAAGAACTCTATTTAAGTCCTTGATAAGGTCTTTAAAGGTATACAGTATGCCACAAATTCCCACATGGGGTACTCATGCCAACAGTGTTTCCTTAGAATCTTATCATGAGCAAATGAGAAAAAAATTGACTGTGAGACATTCTACAACTGGCACACACTCTTTAAACCAAGTTATTATCATGAAAAGTAAACAAAAGAATGAGGGGAAATAGATTAGAAGAGGCCAGAGACATAATAACCGAATAGAATGTGATTCGATCATGGGTCACTGAAAATAAGAGAGGAAGAAAAGATACATTTCGAAAAACATTTGTGGGTCATTTACAAAAATTCAAATTTGGACTGTATATGTGATGGTATTATAAAATTAGTGTTACTTTTCTTAGATGAGACAGCCCACTGGGGTTAACAGAAAATGTTCCTATTCTTAGGAAATGCATGCTGAAATATTTAGAATTAACTGTCATGATGTCTACTTTCAAATGGTTCGGAAAAAAATTATATAATGTGAAAATATTAAAAATTGGTGAAACTAGGTTGAAGGTACATGAACGCTTGTTGTATTCTTTCAACTTTTCTGTAAGTTTGAAATTTTCTCAATAAAATATTTGATTATACAATTATAAATGGTCAATTTACAATAAAAAAATCCAGGGGAAAGTGAAAAAAGGTCTGAGGAGAATATCCAATATGCAATTGTCCCAAAGGACAGTTTATGTCAATGAGTCAGAGTGTGACCTCCCAGTCTACATAGCTTTTTGAGGTTTATGGCTGTACTATATAATTATAACTAACATTTGCAAACAACAAAGTGCTGTCACAGACATTCTGCTTGTAATCCCGTTGGGAATGAGCCTCATGTGGTAGGTTTTATTGCCCTGTTTTATAGCCAAGGTGCAGAGCTGCACTTTTGGCCTATGATCGTCTCCACGTCTCCTAGAATTTCCTCACTCCCAGCTGGCCAGTACAGGAATGAGTACCTGGCAGGTTCTCCTTAAACACTATGTATTGTGTGTCTGATAAAGAGACATTTTTAAATTGTCATTGAGAATATTATGTCAGATAGTTCTGCAAAATGTGGCTTTTGTAAATAAAAAAAATGTTTTTTGTTTTGTTTTTTTTTGAGACGGAGTCTCTCTCTGTCGCCCAGGCTGGAGTGCAGTGGCATGATGTTGGCTCACTGCAAGCTCCGCCTTCCGGGTTCACGCCATTCTCCTGCCTCAGCCTCTGGAGTAGCTGGGATTACAGGTGCCCACCACCAAGCCCGGCTAATTTTTTGTATTTTTAGCAGAGACGGGGTTTCACCGTGTTAGCCAGGATGGTCTCGATCTCCTGACCTCATGATCCACCCGCCTTGGCCTCTCAAAGTGCTGGGATTACAGGTGTGAGCCACCATGTCCAGCCAAAAAATTGTTTTTGAGACAGGGTCTCACTATGTTGCCTAGTCTGGTCTCGAACTCCTGGCCTCAATCGATCCTCCTGCCACTTGGCCTCCTGAGTAGCTGGGACTACAGGTGCACGTGACCATGGGTCTAATGGAATAATGGGATGGAATGGCTGACGGAATGCTCTTTAGCCACCATCTTCTTCATTCCCTCCCCTACCCCCAAAGCACATGGTGTACCTGCTCCAGTGTAAACATCGCAACATTTGACCGGAGACAGATGGAAAACGGCAGGGTTGCAGTTCTTTTGAAGGGGGAGGTCCTTTGGCCTTGAGTTGGTCTCTTAGACAGGGTTTCCTGGGCTCCACACTCTGAGATGGAAATTTTCATGAAGCAGTCTGTTGGGAAGTGGTCTATCGGGGCGTGCTTGTGTAGCAACACGTGGAAGGGAGTGAAGAAAACAGGATTTGGCAAAGGGAGAAGCTGAACTATGAGTCACTTACTTCAGATGCGTCAGCCAATGCCACGGAAAGCTCTGAAACTAGAATGGAACTCCAGAGATGTCCCAAATTCAAGCAAGAAGGCTGGACTTTTGTATCCCCGTGTTAATCAATCTTTGGACATGGGCTACCCCAGGAAGGGTGTGTAATCTTGGGTAATGCCAATTCTTGGCACATAAGTGAACTATGATCTAGGAGCAGGCAAAGCTTTCAGCTGGGGAATAGGACCTTGGTCCTCAAGAGGGCCTCCAGAAAGTGCATCGGGCTCTGCGGCAGGGGACTTCCCAGTCTGGGCCAGGACCCAGCCCAAGAGGACGGATTGCTTTTCTTTGTCATATCTCTTGTTCTCTTTTAATCTAGAAGAGTTTCTCAGCCTTCTGGTATCTTTTTTGACTTTATCATTTTTAAAGAGTCCAGGCCAGTTATGCTGTAGAATGTTTGAATTTGTCTAATCTTTCCTTCTGACTGAAATTCAGATTATTTTTCTTTGACTCATCATTTCTTTCCTCTCTTAGTGGGTCAGGCACTTCCCCTGCGGGTCATGTTGCTGCTCCATCTAATTATCGTCTGGCGGCCAGCAGAGGAAATGGTAAATCCTGAAGCGGTGGTGAGACGACCCCTGCATTATCTTCAAGCCGTCAAGCCAGGGAGGAATAATAACCCCGGACAGAGAGGAATCTGAGTTTGCAAGCCGTCAAGTGCATTGACCTCTTTGTCCTCAACCAAATCTGAGGTCACCAATCCTTTCCAAACTCAGCCATGATGTTGGCAGAGCAGATTTGCCAGGTTCTTCTCGGGGGCCCCACTACCCTTATATTTAAATCCTTAGTCTAATTCTCATCTTTTCCTGCCCCCCTGCTGCAGGAAATGAGAGCCCCTCTGTATGCTGCAAAGGGGGAGCCCTGCTTTCACACTTTGCCTAAATTAATGATGATGTTTACCGTCTTACTGCAAAGCATAGATTGTACTCATCAGGAACCAGCCAGTTTCATTACTCTCATAATGACTTCTCCAACCTCTCAAATGCCTGAGAAACTGCACCTGCCAGTTGCTTCCTCCTCCTCCTACTCTGTCCTTTTGTGCTGTAAGTGAAACTTTTTTTTTTTTTTTTTTGAAACGGAGTTTTGCTCTTGTTGCCCAGGCTGGAGTGCAATGGCTCGATCTCGGCTCACTGCAAGCTCTGCCTCCCGGATTCAAGCGATTCTCCTGCCTCAGCCTTCCGAGTAGCTGGGATTACAGGCATGCGCCACCACGCCCGGCTAATTCTGTATTTTTAGTAGAGACGGGGGTTTCACCATGTTGGCCGGGCTGGTCTCGAACTCCCGACCTCAGGTGATCCGCCCGCCTTGACCTCCCAAAGTGCTGGGATTACAGGCGTGAGCCACCACGCCCGGCTTAAGTGAAAGTTTTAACACTTGCTTCCCTACAGAATGCCAGGGGCTAGCCCTACTCCACCTCCCACCGGTAAGGAGGACTTTACTGATAGCCTGCTGGTGTGACCTGCACGTATATATCCAGATGGCCTGAAGTAACTGAAGAATCACAGAGGAAGTGAAATTTAAATGGCCTGTTCCTGCCTTAACTGATGACATTCCACTACAAAAGAAGTGAAAATGGCCGGTCCTTGCCTTAACCGATGACATTACCTTGTGAAATTCCTCCTCCTGGCTCATCCTGGCTCAAAAAGCTCCCCCACGGAGCACCTTGTCACCCCCACTCCTGCCCGCCAGAGAACAACCCCCCTTTGACTGTAATTTTCCTTTACCTACCCAAATCTTATAAAACGGCCTCACCCCTATCTCCCCTTTGCTGACTCTCTTTTCGGACTCAGACGGCCTGCACCCAGCTGATTAAAAAGCTTTATCGCTCACACAAAGCCTGTTTGGTTGTCTCTTCACACGAACGCGAGTGAAACTTTCTTCTTTGTACTTTCTGTTATATTGCCAGGTATGTCTTACGTAAAGAACATGGGGATTTTTTGTTCATTTTTTTTCCTCAGTGAAGAATACTGGTTATTACTCTTAAAACGCCTTTGACGTCAAATAGCTGGATTCAAATCATAGATTCATTACGGCCTCGTTGTGTGACTGTTAGGCAAGTTCCGTAGCTTCTTCTCTTAGCCTTCATTTCAAATAGAAATACTTCATTTTCAAAAGAGAATCTCCTTCCATGGTGGTGGTGGAGATTCTAGATGGTGTGTGTCTAATAGCTAAAAAAACGTGTGGTGCTCACTCAACAAATCAAACCAATTTATCCTTTCTCTTAGTGTGGTTCCAGTTTGTTGCTTCTGTCCTCATATATTTATTTAAGTTTTCCCTAGCTTATCTGCTTTCAACAAAATGCTGTCACCAAGACTCTGTCATTACATTATTTTATGCCTGTTCCATGTAGGTTAAGCTCCCAGCAGGAACCCAGCCTGGCCCCTGGTCTCTCCTGAGTGCCTTCTGGAATCTTATGGAAATATTTTACATTCTAACCTGCAAACTGTATATAAGTGAGAAGTGTCCCTGTTTCCAGGACAACCTACTGTAGATAATGCCAGTGTTGGCTGGGTGTGGTGGCTCACGCCTGTAATCCCAGCACTTTGGGAGGCCGAGGCGGGAGGATCATGAGGTCAGGAGATCGAGACCATCCTGGCCGTGGTGAAACCCCGTCTCTACTAATATACAGAAACTTAGCCGGGCGTGGTGGCACGCGCCTGTAGTCCCAGCTACTCAGGAGGCTGAGGCAGGGGAATCGCTTGAATCCGGGAGGCAGAGCTTGCAGTGAGCCGAGATTGTGGCACTGTACTCCAGCCTGGGCAACAGAGACTCCATCACAAAAAAAAAAAAAGAAAAAAAAATGCCAGTGTTTCGTTTTGGTTTGGTTTGGTTTTGACAGAGGTTGGTCAGAATAAATATTTTTGCCACTCTCTTCTTCTCAGGTTATGGCTTGCTTCTATATAGTGGTGCTGTTGTGATACTCCATGGATTGGTTTGCAGCATATTTTTAAATAATTAAAATTATCCTTTGATACCTGCAAAGGAGCAGGTTGGAGCCTGACCTAACCTTGGACAAGGCGGGGCTGGCCTCATCTGCCCCTCGTGCCAAACCATCCTTCCTCAATTCCAGCTTGCAAAGGGCAGGACTCCTCAGTGTGGCACCACCCAGATTTTCACCTTACGTTGTCCTTGGGACAATCTTTACAGGAAAGCAAGCTCTAGTGATTAGATAGCCTGGTTATTTGCCTACATGATTTTCCTTTTCACAGTAATTTTTGCCCCTTCTTTCATGTGCAGCTGGTCTCTCCCTAGAGACCAAAGGAGCACTCTTTTTCTAAGCCCAGGACCTGAAAGGCATTGCCTGGCAAAACCTTGCAAGCCAGTGTGCGTCACAATACCCTTTGAATGATGTAAAGGAATCAGGCCCTGCCACTCTGCAGTTGATCCAGCAGCAGGAGGCAGCTGTACCCATCACTGTCCTCAGAGTACTTTTAAGAACAAGGAGGTCTCTGCCCACGGCAGCCCAAGCAGGTAATAGCGGTTGGTTGTTACTGCCTGTACCTCTCTCTCGCCTCATTTAGAGGTTGCATTACTAAATGGTTGACTGCATTTCAAATATTTTAGAGACAGGAACTCACAACATAAAGAAACTTCATGGCAAGCCTTTTGGTAAAGCAAAAATGTCTTTTGGAAAGTGAATACTCATCTCTCTCAACTTTGAATTCTTGTCATAGTTTTAACTCAACGTGTCTTTTTTTTCTTAGAAACGGGTACACCTATATTAAATAAGATAATTGGTTCTCTGTGATACAAGAAGACCTAGGTTTTAAAAACTGTGAACTAGATTAACAGGTTACTGAGTTAGCTGATCGATTGATTTATTCACTCATTCTGAAGTATGCATCAAGCACTCCTTGGACAGCGAACACTTTGCAAGAGAATGAGTTAGGAGAAGGACAAAGAGAGTGAAGATCGTGGCCACCAAACGAAGTGGTCCCCAACATCTAGGAGCTCACATTTTACCTGAAGAGACAAAGTGCTGTATAAAACAGATGTCTTGGCCAAGCGTGGCGGCTCACACCTATAATCCCAACACTCTGGGAGGCCGAGGTGGGAGAATCACTTGAGCCCAGGAGTTTGAGACCAGCCCGGGCAACGTAGCAAGGTCCTGTCTCTGTTTAAGAAAACAAACAACAACAACAACAACAAAAAACCCAGATGTCTCGTTGTTTGAAGAATTTCTAGAACCTTATCCAAAGCCTGGTGGAGAGTTGTCACTAATTTTTCTTAAATAATAAAATGAATAAATCAATTCAGAAACCAATAAACCAAAAAGGAAAGGACTCAGAACCAAAATGCGTAGGAGAATCTCCCAGGGGCTCTGGGAATTCACAGGAGGGAAATGGGCCATTTGAAACTCAGAAGAGAGGCCTCCTAGGGAACGTATGTAGGACCTGAACAAAGCCCTGAAGAATGGGCTTAATTTAGGCTAGAGAAGGAAAAAAGAAAGAGTATTCAGGCAGCAGAATTCATTACAGAACTGGTGAGAGTCAGGGGAGAAGGGAACCAACCTTCCTGAACTGGGAAAACTGCCTGCCTGAGAAAACAGAAGCAACAGGGGACTATCAAAGTAACTCATTGCTGCGAGCCCTCTTCTAAACAGCCTCTCATCGCACAGGCTCAGAGGCAGCTAGTACAGTCACCATGCTCCTAGCCAGGGTGAGTCATGTCAATCCCAAAGCACTTCCCCACCCACGCCTTCTCTGCATCCTCAGATCACTAGGGCACGACTTTCCCCAGAGGTTGAATTTCCTCTAATTTCATGAGCACAGATGCAACACTTACAAGGAAATGGGGCATTATAAAATGCATCCAGAAAGTCAACGGATGCAACTTACTCACCAGCTCACATGCCATTTTCTGACTATTCTACAAGGTTCCATTGACTCACTGAATTTTCCAAATCTTACCAGATACATAACATCAAGTCTTGGGACCCTGACTCTAATATCCTTCCTCTGCCCCTTCTCTGGACAGATTAATTAATAACTTGCTAGTTTTCATTTAATTGGGGCCCATAAGTTGATTAAATTTGCTAAGTAACTGTTACTGGTTTCACTTGGCATTGTACTGGGAGTACCCAAACTTTGATTTTTTTTTTTTTTTTTTTTGAGTTGGAGTCTCGCTCTGTCACCCAGGCTGGAGTGCAATGGCATAATCTTGGCTCACTGAAGCTTCCACCTCCTGGTTCAAACGATTCTCCTGCCTCAGCCTCCAGAGTAGCTGAGACTACAGGTGTGCACCACCACACCCGGATAATTTGTGTGTGTGTATTTTTAGTAGAAACAGGTTTCAACATGTTGTCCAGGCTGGTCTCGAACTCCTGACCTCAAGTGATCCGCCTGCCTTGGCCTTCCAAAGTGCTGGGATTACAGGCATAAGCCACCATGGCTGGCCTGATTTAACAACACTTTTAAAAATTCTTTCCTATCATAAAAAGAGATGCCAATTTTTTAAATGTTTTTCAACCAAGTCTTTAGAAAGTCCTTCACCTTGAGGAAAGCTTTTCAGATGCTTCATATCAGGGAAAATGTCCAGGTTTTCTGAAACAAATGTGACTTAGACCTCTGAAAGAGGAGAGGGAGGTGCAGCCACCTCAGCTGCCTGGAAGGTAATCTGGTATGAAAGGATTGTGTTTTAGCAGTGACTGTGCTTTAATTTTATATGCACTTGTGTGGCTCTATGATTAATCTCTGACATTATCTCCTCTACCAGACTGTAAGCAACATGGCGGCGAAATCACGTGTCTTTTGCTGAACGCATTTCCTGTAGCTGCCTGGCAGGGTCAGGCAAAGGCAGTTGGTTAATAAATCTTTGCTGAATGGATCAGTCAATCAGTGATGCTACAGTGGAAGGGGCTTGAGCCTTGGGGTCAGACAGACCTGGCTGTGTGAACTTAAACTTGTGGTTTAACACTTTCTATAAACTAACAGTAATCATGAACAACTTGCAGGATTATTTCAAGGACTGGACGAAATAGCCCATGTGAAAGGTCAGGTGGATGGTGGGTGTTAGCTGAGGTTCTTCCCCACCCCTTTCTACCAGAGGGTAGTTGCTCTTTTTCAAAATCGCTTCAGCTATTTTAGTTCTCTTGCATTTCCAAATAAATTTTATTCTTTTTATTGATTGATTGATTGATTGATTGAGACGGAGTGTCATCTGTCTCCAGGCTGGAGTGTAGTGGTGTGATCTCGGCTCACTGCAACCTCTGCCTCCCGGGTTCAAGCGATTCTCCTGCCTCAGCCTCCCGAGTAGCTGAGATGACAGGCAAGCGCCACCACGCCTGGCTAATTTTTGTGTTTTTAGTAGAGACAGAGTTTCACCATGTTGGCCAGGATGGTCTCGATCTCTTGACCTCGTGATTTGCCAGCCTCGGCCTCCCAAAGTGCTGGGATTACAGGCATGAGCCACCGCGCCCAGCCCCAAATAAATTTTAGAATAAGTTTGTCTATATCTACAAAAAGTCCTGCTGGGATTTTGTTAAGATAAAGCAGATCAATGTGCAGTGAATTGTGATCTTTATTATATTCTTTTCCAATCCATGAATGTAGTCTACCTCTCAGGTCTTCTCTGGTTTCTTTCGTCAACATTTTATAGTTTTCAGCATACAAATCCTGTATATGTGTTGTTCGATTTTCACATATTTCATTTTTAAGCAATTGTAAATAGTTGTGTTTTAAATGTTTGTTCTTTTTTTTATTTATCTAGAAATATGATTTTTTACATATTAATCTTGTATCCTATGATCTCACTAAGCATAGCTGTTGGTTTTAGGAATTTATTTGTAGATTTCTTGAGATTTTCTACGTGGACAATTATGTCATTTGCAGCTAAGGACATCTGTACACCTTTTATTTCCTTTTCTTGTCTTATTGTACTGGCTAGGACTTGCAGCACTATGTTTAATATGAGTAGTGAGAGTAAACATTCTTGCTTTGCCACCAATTTTAGGAAGAGAGCACTCAGTCTTTAACCATTATGTACGATGCTAGCTGTAGGTTTCTGTAAATGTTCGCTATCAGATTGAGAAGGTTCCCCATAGTTTGCTGAGAAATTTTACCACGAATGGGTCAATTTTATTAAGTTCTTTACTATTATTGTATATTATAGAAATTTGATTTAACCCGTATTATATAATGCCAAAAATCTACTGAGAAAGTTGACAAAATAAATCTTACAGATTTGTTCCTGAAGTCAGCATGTTGAAAATTAACTTTGAGGAAGTTTGCTGCAACATACATTTTTAATTCATTTATCTTGGCTCACCTTCTGAACACCAATGTGATAAAAACTTGTATTGTTAAATTTTAATTTCTGTGCACTGAAAGTCTAACCTCAGTGGTCTGGGGGCCAACATTAGTTAATGGAGGTGGCTGAATCCTCCTAGGAGCCATGAACCTGCACAAGCCTTGACTCATTCTTAGGAATGTACCTTAAGAAATAAATTCAATAGAATGAAATATATTCATAGAGATATTTAGCATGACCAAAATGTCCAAAATTGGGGTATTGGGTTTCATAAATTATAACTCACTCAGTTATTCAGTAAATATTTGTCAAATGTTTACCATGTGCTAATTATTATCTTTGACCTGACAGCTGTAGCAGTAGACAAAATAGACAACCCTTCCCTTTCTTCTTTTCTTTTCTTTTCCTTTTTTTTTTTTTTTTTTTTTTGAGACAGGGTCTCATTCTGTAACCCAGGCTGGATTGCAGTGGCATCATTTCAGCTCACTGCAACCTCCACCTCCCAGGCTCAAGTGATCCTTCCATCTCAGCCTCCCAAGTAACTGGGACTACAGACACATGCCACCTGCCCAGATAATTATTGTATTTTTTGTAAAGATGGGGTTTTGCCATGTTGCCCAGGCTGATCTCAAACTCCTGATCTCAAGTGATCCACCCACTTTGGCCTCCCAAAGTGCTGAGATGACAGGCACGAGCCACTGCACCCACCATGGAGATTGAAACAAATATAAACAAGATACATAAGTAAACGTACAGTATGGCAAATGGGGATAAGTGTTTTGGAGAAAAACAAAGCAAAGGCAGGGAAAAGGAGTTCAGAAGTGGGGTGGAGTGGAGTCTTATTTTAAATAGAGTGGTGGATGGCCCTTACTAAACAACACAAAGGAATGTTAAATATTAAAATTAAGAATACTGGGCTGGGCGCAGGGGGCTCACGGCTGTAATCCCAGCACTTTGGGGGGGCCAAGGTGGGTGGATCACGAGGTCAGGAGTTGGGGACCAGCCTGACAAACATGGTGAAACCTTGTCTCTACTAAAAATACAAAAATTAGGCGAGCGTGGTAGAGCACGCCTGTAATCCCAGTTACTCAGGAGGCTGAGGCAGAAAAATCGCTTGAACCCAGGAGGTGGAGGTTGCAGTGAGCCAAGATGTGCCACTGCACTCCAGCCTGGGTGACAGAGCGAGACTCCATCTCAAAAAAAAAAAAAAAAAAAGAATACTCTAGCAATGTGGAAAAAGTTTCATGATATATTGTTCAATGAGAAACAACGAATATAAAATAGGGCCAGGCACAGAGGCTCAGGCCTGTAATCCCGGCACTTTGGGAAGCCGAGGTGGGAGGATTGCTTGGGCCTAGGAGTTCAAGACCAGCCTAGATAACATAGTGAGACCCATCTCTACAAAAAAAGAAAAAAGAAGTATTTAATTAGCTGAGTGTGGTGGCATGCACCTGCAGTCCAAGCTACTCAGAAGGCTGAAGGGGGAGGATCACTTGAGCCCAGGAGGTTGAGACCAGCCTAGCCAACATGGTGAAACCCCATCTCTACTAAAAACGAAAATAAAAAAAATTAGTCAGGCATGGTGGTACACGCCTGTAATCCCAGCTGCTCGGGAGGCTAAGGCAGGAGAATCACTTGAACCCAGGAGGTGGAGGTTGCAGTGAGCCAAGATCACGCCATTGCACTCCAGCCTGGGTGACAGAGCCAGACTCTGTCTCAAAAAGAAAAAGAAAAGAAAAGAAAATTAAAAATTACAAAATAGAATATCTGCTGTGGTTTAAATATGTATGGGCCGGGCATAATGGCTCACACCTGTAATCCCAGCACTTAGGGAGGCCGAGGTGGGTGGATTACTTGAGGTCAGAAGTTCGAGACCAGCCTGGCCAACATGGAGAAATCCTGTTCTCTACTAAAAATACAAAAACTAGCTAGGCGTGGTGGCGCATGTCTGTAATACCAGCTAGTCAGGAGGCTGAGGCATCAGAATTGCTTGAACCCAGGAGGTAGAGGTTGCAGTGAGCTGAGATTGCGCCACTGTATTCCAGCCTAAGTGATAGAGTGAGAGTGTCTCAAAAAAAAAAAAAATTAAGTATGTATGTGTATGTGTGTGTGTGTATATATATATATACACACACATATATATGATACAAAAACATGAAAATAGTTGTTTATGTGTAGAATTCATGGATGGTTCTAATATTGTCTTATGGCATTATTTACTCTGGGCATACAATGTTTTCAGTTGTAAATAAAAATCTTCAAAGATTTCCTAGGAATAACTGAAACTGAGTGAATGGTAGGGCAAGGGCACAGACAGCACTTTTGTTTGCTTTGGAAGAATTTTACTTGGGGCATGTCTAAGCGAGAATCTTCTATTAAGGCAACTAAAAAATTAAATGTTTTCAGGGAGATGAAAGTTATGTTGTTCCTGGTGCTGAGAACAACAGTTGTACAGCACTGGCTGTGACCATGAAAGTGATGGTAAGTTTACCATATGTTCATACTTGAGTTACCACGTTCAGATTTGGTATGGGGCTATATTTTTTAAGATTGACTAAAATAAAATGTACTGATATATCTTATTGCAAACTACACTTCCTTATGTGTCCAAGAGATTATGATTAATGGCAAAAAAAAAAAAAAAAAGTGATTTGGTATCCCTCACATAAGGTAGAGGAAATTCTCTAAAGATCGGTAACCACTCCCAGACAAGGTCCTCTGATTATTGTAGGAGCATAGACTTGGACTCAAACACCATTGCTAATGCATTTCTCTAAAAATGCTTGCATCGCGTGGCAACCAGAGGCAACCCACAGAATGGGAGAAAATATTTGCAAACTACCCATCTGACAAGGGATTAATAACCAGAATATATAAAAAGCTTAAACAATCAATAGGGAAAAGAAAATCTGATTTTAAAATAGGCCAAAGGGCCAGGAGCAGTGGCTCATGCTTGTAATCCCACTTTGGGAGGCAGAGGTGGGCAGATCACCTGAGGGCAAAAGTTCGAGACCAGCCTAGCCAACATGATGAAACCCCGCCTCTACTAAAAATACAAAAAATTAGCTGGGTGTGGTGGCGGGCGCCTGTAATCCCAACTACTCGGGAGGCTGAGGCAGGAGAATCACTTAAACACAGGAGGCGGAGGCTACAGTGAGCCGAGATCACGACATTGCACTCCAGCCTGGGCAATGAGAGCAAAACTCCACCTCAAAAAAATTAATTAATTAATTAAAATAAGCAAAAAATCTGAATAGACATTTCTCAAAAGAAGACACATAAATGGCTAACAGGTGTATAAAAAAAAAGTTCAACATGGCCCGGGGCGGTGGCTCACGCCTGTAATCCCAGCACTTTGGGAGGCCGAGGCTGGCGGATCACAAGGTGAAGAGATTGAGACCATCCTGGCCAACATGGCAAAACCTGTCTCTACTAAAAATACAAAAAATTAGCTGGGCGTGGTGGTGCGTGCCTGTAGTCCCAGCTACTCGGGAGGCTGAGGCAGGAGAATCACTGGAACCCGGGAGGCGGAGGTTGCAGTGAGCCAACATCGCACCACTGCACTCCAGCCTGGCAACAGAGCGAGACGCCATCTAAAAAAAAAAAGTTCAACATTACTAATCATCAGAAAAATGCAAATGAATCCTGCAATGGGATATCATCTCACCTCAGTTCAAATGTCTTTTATCCAAAAGCCAGGCAATGATGAATGCTACTGAGGATGTGGAGAAAGGGGAACCTTCATACGCTGTTGGTAGGAATGTAAATTAGTACAGCCACTATGGAGAACAGTATGAAGGTTCCTCAAAAAACTAAAAATAGAACTACCATATGATCCAGCAGTCTCACTGCTGGGTATATATCGAAGAGAAAGGAAATTGTTATATCAAAGAGATATCTGCAGTCCTGTGTTTATTGCAGCACTATTCACAATAGCCAAGCTATGGAATCAACCCAAGTGTCTATCAATGGATGAATGGATAAAGAAAACGTGATATACACACACACACACACACACACACACACACACACACACACACACACACATGCATGCATGGAATATTATTCAGCCATAAAAAAGCATGAAATCGGTCGGGCAGAGTGACTCATGCCAGTAATCCCAGCACTTTGGAAGGCTGAGGCGGGAGGATCACCTGAGGTCAGGAGTTCCAAGACCAGCCTGGTCAACATGGTGAAACCCCATCTCTACAAAAATACAAAAATTAGCTGGGCATGATGGCAGGTGCCTGTAGTCCCAGCTACTCAGGAGGCTAAGGCAGGAGAATTGCTTCACCCTGGGAGGCGGAGATTGCAGTGAGCTGAGATTGCGCCATTGCACTCCAGCCTGGGTGACAGAGTGAGACTCCGTCTCAAAAAAAAAAAAAGCATTAAATCCTGTCATTTACAACAACATGAAGGGAACTGGAGGACATTATATCAAGTAAAATAAGCCAGGCACAGAAAGACAAATATTGCTTGTTCTCACTAATATGTGGGAGCTTGAAAAAAAATTGAACTTGTCGAAGAAAAGGAATTGAACTTGCGGAGACGGAGAGTAGAATGATGGTTAGCAGAGGCTGGGAAGGGGAGTGGGGAAGAGGGAATAAACGGTGGATGGTTAATGGAACAAAAATACAGTTAGAAGAAAAAAGATCAGTGTTTGGTAGCACAATGGGTGACTATTGTCTATAATTTATCGTACATTTCTTTTTTTTCTTTCTTTCTTTTTTTTTTTTGAGATGGAGTCTTCCTCTGTTGCCCAGGCTGGAGTGCTGTGGCTCGATCTCGGCTCACTGCAACCTCTGCCTCCTGGGTTCAAGGATTCTCCTGCCTCAGCCTCCCAAGCAGCTGGGATTACAGGCATGCGCCACCATGCCTAGTTAATTGTTGTATTTTTAGTAAAGACGGGGTTTCATCATGTTGGCCAGGCTGGTCTCAAACTCCAGACCTCAAGTCATCTGCCCACCTCGGCCTCTCAAAGTGCTGGGATTACAGGCGTGAGCCACCGCGCCCGGCCTGTTCTACATTTCAAAATAACTTAAAAAGTGGAATTAGAATGTTCCTAACACAAAGAAATGATAAATTCTTGAGGTGATGGACACCCGCATTACCCTGATTGGATCATTACTCATTGTATGCTTATATAAAAATGGCACATGTACCCCATAAATACATACATCTCTTATATATCTATAATAATTAAAAATAAAAATTTTTGTTAAAAAAGCATGGCAACCCATGACCGATTTATTCCCTTACAAGACTGATTCAGAATTTCTAGGCACTGAGCACTCACTCTGTCTTCAAAGGGATAGTGGGGGCTGTCTTTGTTAGGAGCTCAAAAGCCCTGAATACCTGGCATTCTTCTGTCCAGCCTGTCACTTCCACTGAAGTAAACTCCAGTCACGAAGCTTTCGGAGTTCGGGTTAGCAGATTAACCAAGAGCTCAGCTGTGTTTACTCAGATTTTCTCTCTCATTGTTTCTTCCTTCTTTCTCTTTCTCTCTCTCTCTCTTTTTTAAATAATCACAGCAGTAAAAGTACATTATATAATGATTAGGCTCTGTTGGATAGCCAACTATTCCATTATAGTGTAATGCTGTTTAAAATCTTCAAGTTGCTTTGAAAAACACACTCAGGTGAAATAAAGCAGCTGGCCAGCCGGCAGGCAATGAGTTAACCGTTGTCTATGAAAGGGAAGAGGAGGAGACATCACACACTCTTTTTTTCCAGTCCTTTCTGTCTCCTGGTTACTGAATAGTCCTAGTTTTGTTTTGGCTGATGGTCTGGGTGCCTTGTGATTGTTTTGATAGAGCTAAGAGTTAAAATAAATATTTCTGCAGCCAGAGGGTTCCAGCCCTGGTTCCTTGGTAACCTCATACAAGTTACTTAACTTCTTAGTACCTCAATTTTCTTGGGAGTAAATAGCAGTAAAACTCTGTAGGGTTGCTGGGAGGCTAATAGGAGTTAATACATGTTACCTGGTACATAATCCATGATTGTCAATAGGAACTCACATTTCTCCTTTCTCAAAGATGTTTTCAAGGACACAGAACACTCTCGCACACATCTTTGCCTCATTCAACCCTCCAGAGAGCTATTGTAATCAATGTGGAGAGTGGGAAAATGACCTGCCGCAGGTCACATGGGTCTCAGTCCGATGTTCTCCTGCTACACCACTAGCCATGTTTGTGCAAACCATAGGCCCAGCTGTCTATGCATACATAATAGATATGCAGAGTGCAAAATTCCTAAGGTAAATGGTAAAAAGTATGCCTTTGTCCCCCAGCCACTCAGTTTTCCTTCTCATTGTTTACTCTTTTCCCTGTGAACTTTTTTTTTTTTTTTTTTTTGAGACAGGGTCTCACTGTCACCCAGGCTGGAGTGCAGTGGTGTGATCTTGGCTCACTGCAACCTCCGCTTCCTGGGCTCAAGCGATCCTCCCGCCTCAGCCTCCTGAGTAGCTGGGACCACAGGCATGCACCTCCACACCAGGCTTTTTTTTTTGTTGTTGTATTTTTCATAGAGTTGGGGTCTCACCACTTTATGTGATTATTTAAATGTAGTAGTTTGCTTGTGGCAAGCCATATTCTCCAGTAAATAATCAGATGTGGGCCAGGTACGGTGGCTCATGCCTGTAATCCCAGCACTTTGAGAGGCCGAGGTGGGTGGATCACCTGAGGTCAGGAGTACAAGACCAGCCTGGCCAACATGGTGTGAAACCCCATCTCTACTAAAAACACAAAAATTAGCTGGGCATGGTGGCAGGTGCCTATAATCCCAGCTACTCAGGAGGCTGAGGCAGGAGAACTGTTTGAACCCGGGAGGTGGAGGTGGCAGTGAGCCACGATTGTGCCACTGCACTCCAACCTAGGCGACAGAGTGAGGCCCTGTGAAAAACAAACAAACAATCAGATGTGATATGAAATTTTAGACTAGAAACAACCTATATGTTTAGTCTAGGGTCAGTGGGGAACAGAAAGGGGGCTAACATAGAGAATGAATGGCTTACAAAAAATCCTCAGAAGGGCTGGAAGAACAGGCTCTGGGTGGGGCCCCCAGGAGGCATCTAGAACATCTCCACAAAACTGACCCATCACTGGTAAAGCTATGTCAGTCCAGATCAGGAAGCTGCTTCCAGGAGTATTGAGTTCAAGAACCTACTCCCAACGCCACTGTCTCTGCCACCTAGGAAGCTGGAATTTGAACCCTGGGACACAGACTTCAGCCACTGCCTTCGCAACAATTGCTTCTTGAATGCCCCAAAGCTGGAGATGAGACGCTGGAAAAGTGCCATATGCTCCACAACCTTGCTTGCCAGTAGAGAAGATCAAGGCAGCAGCCTCTGCCTAATGTCCACCTTCCAAATCTCAAGCAAGTACAGCCGATGCAAGGGCGCTCACTCCTAGCCGGGATTCTTGTTGTGAGGCACTCTGGGAAATGTCGTGCTTAGCTTGCAAGCTTGTGAGGTAGGAAGGCCCACTAAGAAATGAGACAGGATCTTGGGTCACAACTGATCAGAACAAAACCAAAAAAACAATGAAGTGAGACAGGAGACTATGCCCAGCTAACATTAGCACAGTACCTTTGCTTTTGCTTTTTCTTTTTTTTTTTGACGGAGTCTCACTCTATGGCCCTGGCTGGAGCGCAGTGGCACGATCCTGGCTCACTGCAAGCTCCGCCTCCCGGGTTCACACCATTCTCCTGGCTCAGCCTCCCAAACAGCTGGTACTACAGGCGCCCGCCACCAGGCCCGGCTACTTTTTTTGTATTTTTAGTAAAGACGGGGTTTCACCGTGTTAGCCAGGATGGTCTCGATCTCCTGACCTCGTGATCCTCCCACCTCAGCCTCCCAAAGTGCTGGGATTACAGGCGTGAGCCACCACACCCGGCCTGCTTTTTATTTTCTTATTGATTTATACTTATTTAATTTTTTTTTACTTTTGGTTTTTAAAGAAAAGCACATCTGTGTGTATTTGCCTTATGCTTGCCATTTCTTTTTGCTCCTTTCTAATCTTGTATTTCCTTCCCTAAATAGCCTATATGCATAGTCCTTCTACCATGTCAAATATTTTTACTGATTTCTTTCAAGATGGACTTTGTGGTACTAGATATCTCACCCATGGAATTATGTATAAACTGGCAATATAATCCTTTATGCCATAATTTTTTTTCAGATTCCCATCCATCATGACTGCCATCCGACTACGAGAATTTATTGAGCGTCGCCCAGTGATCCCGCCAAGGTATAGTTCTTCCAGATGCACAGCCTCCGGGACTGAAGCCAGGCAGCCAGGTGCCTGGGGAGTTAGAATTGCACATCCTGCTGCTCAGTGGTCCAGAGACTACTGCCAGGGAGTTCTAGGGAAGCTCTTTGGATATTTCCTGATGAGCAGGTCTGTGCAAACCTACCGGCAAAAGTCAGAGGAAGCTGAGACGCCGAAGAAAGAGGCTGACAAATCCAGTTTCTTACAAAGAAATATTTAACAGGGACTTACGAACAGAAGCCATATATGTGTCTCGGGTAGCAGTGAGATGAGATGGTGGATGTCTGCGCCATTACCCCTGAGACCCAGGATTTAGATACCATAGGGGAAGAGTGATACAGAAGGGATATATGGGACAATTGAAGTACGATAACACCAATGTTGTTTGGCCGAAGGGCAGAACTTACAGTAAGTACCTGCTCTGACACCAGGAACTATAGAGAAACTGGAAATCTTAGAGGCCTGGGGTGATATGATTTGGTTGTGTCTCCACTCAAATCTCATCTTGAATTGTAGCTCCCATAATTCCTACGTGTCGTGGGAGGGACCTGGTGGGAGGTAACTGAACCATGGGGTGGGGTTTTCCCATGCTGTTCTCCTGACAGTGAATAAGTCTCACGAGATCTGATGGTTTTATAAGTGGGAGTTCCCCTGAACAAACTCTCTTGCCTGCCGCCATGGAAGACATGCCTTTCCTCCTCCTTTGCCTTCTGCCATGATTGTGAGGCCTCCCCAGCCGTGTGGAACTGTGAGTCCATTAAACCTCTTTTTCTTTATAAAATACCCAGTCTCGGGTATTTCTTCATAGCAGTATGAAAATGGGCTAATACAAGGGGTTAATCAGAAGCCAACATGGTGAATTAGCATCCAACATAGAGTTGCTCTAGCCTCCACATTGGGTTTAGGGAAAGTTGTAAGAAAAAGAAGCCTCACACTCACTGCAGAATCCAAGCAAACAGGCAACTCCAAATTCCCAAAAGACCAGAAGGATATTGGTTTTTGCTTGGGAAGAGCTTTAGTGAGAAGTCTGAGCAATCCAAGCCCACATTTTGGATTGGACCATTTTACTCTGCTTGTGGGAAAACAAACTGCTCCTGTGCTTCCTCTGATGAGAGCTGACGGCACAGATGGAAACTAAGGAGCTGTTTCGCTCTTTCTTCAA